>NC_000009.12:98978127-99129642 GCF_000001405.40 Homo sapiens | reverse complement strand
ACAGGCATGAGCCACCGCACCCAGCCCCAGGAAATTTTAAATGTAAACTACAGGTGAAGGACCAAAAATCTAGAAATCATGTATAATTAATTTACGCAAAAAGATCATAAAACAAGCTGAAATTACAAAATGAAAACATCTAGACTGTTAAGTGCTGCTCTGAATCCCCACTCATTAAAAGACTGTGATTGCTTTAAAAGATAGGAGCATTATACAAGGAAGAAGAAATTCACTCTGAGAACAAAGTAGAGACAATCTGAAGATGTTGTTGTGGGCTTTGTCAGAGTTTGCTTTTATCTATCCTTTTAGGTATAACAGACCTCAGAGGAAGTCCACCCTGGAACCACCTTCTTAAACAACACATACCCAGGAGGCAGGATCTTGGTTACTCTTATAAGTCTGTAACAATGGACAAGTCACTTCTTGCCTCTAAACGGAATGAGCTGGATTAGACAATTTTTATGATCCCTTCCAGTTCTAAAATCACAGAGTATGAAGAGTTTTTCTTGTAGTATCTAGGAAAAAAATTTTATACAACTTACCAGTAGTTGGAAGTTCTATTTTATTGCAATGGTCCTGATTGCAGCAATATGTTGTAGTCACAGACCCAGTTTTTGAAGAGGGTGCACATACAAACGGCCTATCTCGAGGAATTAAGTCAATTTCAGCTATACACATGCTGTTGTGTATAACTTTGTCTGTGGTCTCTGTGACAGAGACAAAGCAGAGCCCATCTGTCACACAAGTAAAATTGTCTTTTGTACAGAGGTGGCAGAAACACTGTAACGCTGGAAAAAGAGAAAGATTCTTAGAAAAAATCTCAAGGTTAACAGTTTGAAATTATCCAATATTCACTCTAATAATACATTCTTGATCCTATTATCACACAATTTCTATGCACTGTTTGTTGCTCTTAGAAGCAAAAAACAACTATTTGTTGCTCTTAGAAGTTTCAAATTATATTAAGAACCACATACACGTGGAAGCCCAAGGAAATGTAGCAACATTTGGACCCAGGTTTTTTCCTGAAGTTTTTTGCTTCCAAGTATAGAAAAATTTTGTTATGTTCAATTTCATCAAAGCAAGGCAAGCATTTGCCTTCCCATTAGAAACAAAGTACATTTAAATTTGTAATGGTTATACTTTTTTTTTTTTTTTTTTTTTTTTACCAGGCCCAAACTAAACATTCACATACTCCTCCTTTGAGAAGCAATGTGTGAAAACACTACCACCCATTAAGTGTAGGCTAATGCCATTTCAGTGGCTTTCTGGATAATGGAGTAACGGAAACAGATTTGTACTGAGCCAGACACTCTCTATTCCCCTTGGTGCAAACCCTAAAAAAGACATGTATATTCTGGCCAGGACTGGGGCATTCTCTTAGGGAAGCCAAGCAGACTACACCTGTAACAATACATACATGCTCCAACCACATAGGCAACCTAACTACAGAAATGACTGGCAGCAAAATACTAGCTTCATGCCCACTTGTATCTACTTGATCTTTATGGCTCAACCCCAGGAGTGACCTCTTTAGGGAAGCCTTCTAATTATCACCAACACCTTCTCATACACACAGATACACCTTCAACCATGCTCTCTGATGAAGTTAAGTGCTCTCCAAAACACATACTGCTTACCAGAATTGCTAGTTTTGTTTTTCTTTCTCCTATGAAACTGTAAACTCCTTGAGGCCAGATACCTGTATTAGTCATTTCTGTCAATCTGCCATCTAACACCATGCCTCATGCACAGCAGCATTCAAAAAATACTTGTTGAATCACAATGATAGAATGTGTGCATAATTTCACCATGGTCACATGAAATTGCAAAGCACAGACATGTTCTTAAATCCAAACATTCCAATTACTTGTTGGCAAAGGAATAAAAAGGAGTCTAGGTACACGGAATGGCCATCTATGACGTGAACAGCAAGGTCCACTCTACCTAGAAAAGGAGTGGCTAGGCAGACAGGGGCAGGATAGACAGAGCTAACTCCCTGAAGAGCTAACTTGCTGTACAAGAAAGGGTTAACTCAGCAGGACTGAGTTGCTCAAACCCTGCATATTCCCAAGAAAGACTTGTCTTCAAAACTGGCCTTGGCTGGCTCCTGGTAGATGAGCTCTGAACCTTTGGAATATTCTCCCTGATAAGAATATTTCTGTATGCCTGAGGCCTTGGGTCACATGGTACCAATTTTGTCAGACAGCTTATTCTAACAATGTGATTTACAGTGAACACCTATTACTGCTGGGGGGCCGGGTAGGAGAAGTCTGAGGGGCTGAAGCCTGTCATGCAGATGCTGCAAGCCTAAGTGACTGACCAACAGTAAAAACCCTGGACACCAAGGCTCAAGCGAACTTCCCTGGTTGACAACTTCGTGCATGCTGTCACACATTGTTGTTGAGAGAATTAAGGCCATCTATGCTATGCCACTGGAATGGGACACCTGGAAACCTGTGTCTGATTTCTCCTAGACTTCACCCCGGGTGCCTTTTGCTTTTGCTGATGTTAACTGTATGGTTTTGCTGTAATACACTATAACCATGACTGTAACAGCTTTTCTGAGTCCTGTGAGTCCTTCTAGCAAACCAAGTCTGAGGATGGCCCTGCAGACTCCCAACTCACTTGCTCAACTCAAATTCAGGAATGTCAGGTTCTCCCTCAAGTAGCTGTTTCTTGGTTGCTGGCTTAATTCACATACTTGTCTATTATCTTTACAGACCAGTAAAGTTTTACCTTAATCATTATTAAAAACGCTTTCTTTATTCATAGACAGGTCAGCTATTTGCTTCCTAAGTATGAAAGAAACTCAAGGAAATGACAAGAAAGAGACACAATCGTAATAAAGACTGCTAAAAGAGACAGTAATTATTCATGACAAGGTGTGATGGTGATGGCTGTCTGGGTATGATTTCCTAAGGAGGAATTCTGAACCAGGAATTCATGGACTGGCTTCAGAGGTACATGAATCCCATAAAACTATAAGCCAAATGTTATATGTATTTACATTTTCAAGGAAAAGCTTTCCAAGTCAATCACAATGGAGTCTGTGACCCACAAAGCATTAAAACTACCACCGAAGGACATTGTCATAATTCTCTCCTAAATCCTCTTTACTCATGATTAGTCATTCAACCCATGTTTTCTAAGCATTACTTTTATCAGTTACTCTACCAAAAGCTTAGCACACAAAGATTAATAACTAATGGTCACAGCACTTGAAGAGCTCCAATGACAAGTGAAGGAGAACACTGTAATACAATGTGGTAACCGCTATACATAAAAAATATTGCCCTGAATACTCTCCCAGTTCTCAGATCACCATGGCTCCCCTATGCTGATGAGATAAGGGCTAAACACCTAGCCTAACAAGACTTTTAGTTTGGGGTTCCAATTTACTTCTCACATGGCAAATGCTATCTAGGGCCACACACCTCTCACCATTATAATAATAATGTCTTTCATGACCTTGGTCTTTACATATACCATCTCTCTGTCTAGTTTAAACCTATCTTCTTATCTGACTCATCCTTTAAGACCCTATTTCAACAGGATCTTTGCCATTATGTGCTCTAAACCTCGCCCTTACCTTCACAATAATTGGTATCTCCTTTCAATATGTTCCATAGTGCTCTTTGCATACCTTTAGAACAGCACAAATCAATCTATTTATAGCTTGCTGTTAAAGGGTCTTTCATTGCCTCAGGAAGGGCCAAGCTTGTTTTGTTTTTCACATCTCTGAATCCTGGCTCCTTAGATAGTGATCAGAAAAATATTTGCTAAAACAATGTCTCCCAAATATGCTGGGAGAAAAAAAGGATGTATAAGTTGGGTACAAGGTTTGAGAACATATTTTCACTTCAAAGATAATCTAAAAACAAGGATAAACATTCAAGATCATGAGTAGCCACTGTCTCAACACTGGCACTAGGCTTTCACTGCTGCTTCTTCAGCTGTGTGAAGATCCCCTTCAGGCCAAATGTCCTTGTGGCACACTACACACAGCATAAGTTTCATGGTCATTGTAAAAGAAAGAGTAAAAAATAAAGGGAATTTGAATCGACCATATGGCAATACAGGCATGGCATGCATATTCAAAAGCCAATAGCCTAACAGCCAATACCATATATGTACTTTATTATATGCAAGTGCTATATGGGTCCTACATGTGTAGTACAATTTGCAAACATTTGTTAGCAGTAAATATAATTGTAGGTATGCAATGTTTTTCCATTCTCATTTCCAGCAATAACTGGTTTAGAAAATCATTTAATGAAGATTTCAATAATGTCAAGATATTAACCTTATCTTCCAATGAACAAAATGGATGACATCTCAGTAAAACTTATAAGCCTGTATTTGAGGAATGCTTGCTGTCAAGTGTTTTGGTTAGGTATGATGTCTCATCCTGAACTTACCAACAAGGCCTTGAAGTCATTAATGCCCTCCTGCATAACATTACTGATGAGAAGAGGCACTACTCACAGCTTTTATTATCACTGAAGTTAAAATACAGAAACACATTTAAAATGGAATTAGACCTAAAGCTATTTTTTTCTACTGCAAAACCTAAACATCATCTGTCACATGGAATAATTGTATTCATTTGAATTTTGTTTTTTTTTGTAGTTGTCTTTGTATTTAATTTGCAGATTTGGTTTATAGTGGTGTATGAGCCAAGAACATAAGGGTTTTATATCTAGTTTCATGTCTACAGAATTTAAGTAACATTATGAAAAATACACTCTGTACTTCTCCTTTCAAAGAGGTCATTACATTACGGTAAATTTGAAAAAGTCAGTACTAAAGGGTTTTTCTTAACTACTCTTTCAATCAGAAGAGGTCACTAGACAAATAAAAACATCAAGATAACACAAAGCTTAACTAGGTAAAGATTTCTCTCTTCAGGGAATTAAAAAATTCCATTTCACCACTTGAAGTCAGTCTTGATTGACTACAAGACTGCTGTTATGTGATACGGCAAGATCGTTTAGGGAAAAACTAAAATAAGAACTTAATTTTTTCCATGAACATGAGTTTTAATTGCCATTTTTTTAAAAAATTCAAATTTATTTTATTAATAGATAGATTTGGCCCCTGGATACTGCCCCCCCCAACCTTTTATTCAACTAGGTTTTAAATTTTTAAACGCATATACATGGCAAAATTTCAATCTAAAAAACGTAAACGAAGACACCTCCTTCCGCCAGCCCAAAGCCCAAGTTCTCCTCACTCTGCAACACATCACCTTGACTCTTTCATTTAATTCTGCAATTATTCACTAAGCATCTCTATATGCCAGGTACAGTGTGGGCTATGAGGTGCAGAGATGAGTAAGACAAGGTATTTGCACTTGAGTAGTTCACTAGGGTGGAAGGGAAAGGCATTAAACAGATAATTAAAATCCTGAGTCCTGAGAAGAATGATCAAAGTGTTTCTACTCTGCTGCGGTAGAAGAGATTATCAAGAAAAGCTTCACCAGCATTCAAGTCAGAACTTGGAGAATATGTACAATTTGTTAGATAGATAAGGGTGAGAAAGCTTTCCTGACTGGGTTTTCTTTCTCAGTGGCAGGATTTCATCCTTAGTGGCTGGCATACCAAGTAAGATGATCAAATTTAAATTGTTCAAGATGCTAACTACGATGTTTTATTTCATCAGGAAAATAAACATAATACCTCTCTGACCTATTTCATCATCTGAGCTAATCAAATGAGATACTGTACTTTATTAACACATTTGGAAACGAACATAAATGATTATATAAACACACAGAATTATCCCATATGATAAATGGCATTGTGCCAATGTGGTTTTTATTCGTAGGCCACCAAAGGTAAACTTCTTCCCAAAAGTAGTGACAAAATTCCACTGTAGAATCCCAGACTAACAGAACCACATGAAACTTTGAATATCATCTAGGCAATTCAGTTCTGTCATTTTATTAATGTAGAAACCAAAACTTAAGAAAAGCAAAACAATTTTAAAAATTTTAAAAAGAAAACCAAAAAACCAAAATGATTTATACAAATATTCTACCCAGATTACAGGCGGATGTGAATCCTCACTATATTATCACCAGCCCACGAGTGAAACCTACGCAACTATTTGCTATACCACTATCCCCATGCTAAGTAACCCTGAACTTTAAAGACTCCCAGGTGGACCTGATTTGGTTTAGACTCCTACAGTTTTGACTCTTCTGCTTGATAGCAAAAATAAGAACCAAATCCCCTGTTTAGGACCTTTCTACTACACTGTCCAACTTTGTTTCCATGCCCCAGTCTTTAACAGTGGGCATAGCTTTCTTAATCTTGAGATGCACATTTCTCTAAGCTTTACATTTCTAAAATCTGAATACAATTTACAATCAAAGTAAAAAGAAAACTCCAGCCTCCAGACTGAAAGGTTAAGACATGATGGGTTGTTGTAACCTATGTATGTGCAAACTTGGCTATACATAGAAAAGATTACAAGTTGAGTATCCCTCATGCAAAATGCTCAGGACCAGAAGTGTTTTGGATTTGGGATTTTTTTCAGATTTTGGAATATTTGCATATACATAATGAGACATCTTGGGAATGGGACCCAAGTCTAAGTATAAAATTCATTCATGTTTCATATATGCTTTATATATATAGTCTGAAGGTAATTTAATATAATATTTGAAATAATTTTGAGCATGAAACAAAGGTCATGTTAAGTACTTATGTGCAGAATTTTCCACTTGTGGCATCATGTTGGTGTGCTCAAAAGGTTTTGAATTTCAGATTGGGATGTTTGACTTGTATTCACTTCACCATCACTGTAATTATTTGTCTTGATAGCTCCCTTGCAACTATAACTTAGGTTAAACAAGGATTTCAGTGTGATTCAGCACTAAAAGGAAAAGCTACTGTGTACACAGAAAATTATATCAGAACCATGCCAGGAAATACAATTACTAGCAGTGAAATTTCCAAATATTGCAGAATAAATCAGAATTTTCAAAGTTTGCAGATGTTAGCATGGTGACAGTTAGTACCAAAGGAAGTGACATGAGGAAAAAGAGACAACAGGACCCTTGGGGTTATTATTCATGGTATTATAGTATCGGGGTAACAACTCTCGGGGTAACATATCCCAAGTTGAGATCTTGGCTCTTGGTCCCAATATAAAGGATTTCCTTGGTTGCCTCATTTCAGTACGTCTCGAGGTCACATATGGAAGCACTATTAATTCTATCTAATGCCAGGGCTACCCAGGGTTAATTCACAAGCCCATATGTCTTGCTAGAAAAGCTGAGAGGTAAACAGTTGTGTATAGTATTAATATATGGAACAGATATTTCTATCACCCTTGTTAAAGAAATAAAAATTAGCACCGAAACCTTGTCTTCCCAGGCTTAGTGTGTCATCATCTACACAACCTACCCGTAGTCTTTTTATGCATACGCTTGAATACTCTTTCCTTTTTCAACCCTTGTTACTGGCCCTCTCCAGCCTTCTATCACCCATCTTCCTCCAGTTCAGAGCTCAACTGAAATCTCTCTTTGAAATTCACTAGCAATGCCCTTCTGGTCAAATTCAATATTCTTTTCAAAACGTTTCAGGATATGAGACAGAGTACCACCCTTTCTTTATTAGTTTTTATATGACACTAAACTTCCCAAACTTACTTTGCACTTGGCCCTTTGGTACATCTCAGATGTACATCTCCAAGCCTCTTGGCCTTTTACCTGTGCTCCAAGCTTGTATTTTAACTACATCCAGGAAACACTCTGCTTGGCTTACTTATCTATGCAAAGTCAAGCAGAGTGTTGTAATCCAGTTTTTTCATCACTCTGACTTTGCTGGTGATGACCCTTATTTTCCTCACCCTACCCACTACAGCACAACTATACTTTTCTTCGCAGTGAGAGTATTTCCAAATATTACAAACATGTACCAACAGGCAAGTAAAAGACCTAACATGCACAATGTCCTTTATGCAGTTTGCTTCACTACAGCTGAAAGCAGATCACATCACTGCTGGCAAAGGTGAAGGCAAAAGTTGGAAGTTATTTAAAAAAAACTTTCAGGGACTAATGTCAGCCCCTTTTATCATCCAACCTATTCTTCTACCCCAGTTCTTCTGAGTAATCTGCCTTACCCCTTTTCTCCATTCTCAACACATGCCCCCTTCTCAAGGAGACGTGTCCTCTTTTCTCCCTCATCCAGCTTTGGAGTAAAGCATACTATATAGATTCTCCTTTTCTTTTTATTAAATATGTTGCTTATCTCTGTATACATGGCTAAAACCCTGACCTCCAATTCCCTCCAGCCTACTATCCTAGGTTTTGTTCCTCAAAATACTCAGTTCTTCTCAATTCAACCCTCCTGGGGCTACCTTGCAGCAGTAATATCAAAGTAAGCTTGTCAAAATAGAGAACACCATATAATGTACATAAAATTTTCCTCTAGTCCAGATAATATTTCACCCCTGAATTTAGGGCATCAGAATAAACGCCTGATTTTTTTCCAGATAAATTCCATTTACTTCTGCCACTTTTAAAGAATTTAAGATGCATTGTTTATCATTTAACCCACATCACATCTTAAAAGAACAGGGCACTCCCAAATTCACAAGCTCTTGTTTTTCCACATTATCTTCATTTTCCAGTCTCCTAGTTTCTATGGAATTAGCCAATATAATGTTAACTGATATCAGAGAAAACACACTAAGAATAGGCTGCCCAAATGGCAAGATGGGATTTAACAGGGTAACTAATACAAAGGCTTTCACTTAGATTCGAAATAAATCACACAAGTACAGCATAAAGATCTGGTTAGCAGATCTGAGGAGTTTAACAACACATTTTAGAAGAGTCAGAGCCTTTAAAAAGTATCTTTTAATCCATCAATTCTACTACTTACAGTTGTCTGAGGAAACAATAGGTGAGAGCAAAAATCTAAACTTGCAGATGTTCATTACAGTATTTTATGATTGAAAACAACCTATGTGAATGACAATACAATGACAGAATGAATCCTTATACAATCATAAATGAAAGACTATATAGCCATTAAAACTGGTATTTTAGAAGCATGTTTAAGGACAAGGGAATGGTCCTACTACTAAAGGGCAGGAAGTAAAGCTGTATAGTGTGATTACAATTACAGTCCTGTCAAGTGACCTTGTTTTTGTTCCACTTCAATGAGTTGAGGGGATATTTTAATATACAGAGCAGATGTGCACACTTTGCCTTACCCCAGGCCCTGAAAAGAAATGGAGAAACTTCTATGTCTAAAGGTGAGTGCTAAAACAATAACCAAATTTCTTATTTCCTCTCAATCTAAGTATGCTTTTACACAGTTTCTTATTAGATTTTAATTTGACTAGTGGGTAGGTATTATAAGGATATGGTAGTTAAGTTGATGGAACTCAGAGACAGAAAAACTTAAGTTAAAATCCTATCTTTGCCAGTCAGGCACTGAGTAATCCTGAGGAAGTCACTTAACTTATTTGAACCTAAATTTCTTCAACTTACTTCCTAAATTTATAACATACTAACAAACAGTACCAATCTCAGAAGGTTTGAGGGTTAATGAAATAACATACATAGAATACTTAGCACAGTGCCCAGCACATAATAAAATGTTCAAAAATTAGTTTATGCACTTTTTCAACAAGTATTTCTTTGGAGCTCCTATTACGTGCCAGTCTCTGGTCTAGATGCTAGACAGAGAATCAGAGCTAATGTTGAGACAGCTCTGGTAGGCAATACTGACACAGAACACAATATAAACCATATGCATATACAACAGTGAATGTTCATGGTACCTATCAGCTCTTTCTCCTTCATAAATATTCATACAGTTTTTCAACAATATGACTGAACAGACCTGGCTCAAGAACTTCACTACAGTAGCAGTAGGCACACACAGAAAGTATATTTTCAGTTCCAACCCAAATTAACAGTGTAGGGACACACCCAGTGTGTATATGTAATATCCCTAATAAATAAGTTAATATCTAATTAGCCATAAAATGTTCATGCTGGAAGGAATATGAACAGAAATATCAGATCCCAGCTCCTTTAGAGATGAAGAAACAGAAATGTCCTAACAGTTACATCAACATAATCTAGATTTATTCCAAAAGTACACAAAGAAAAAAAGGATTACTTGATAATCTACAGTGATTTCCACCCCTACTCCCCACAACCCCTCACGTAGGACAAAACCGAAAATTTCAACCTTTCCCTTTGGAAAGCACGAGTGGCTGTAGGAGAGACTGGCTTGGTTGCACAGATAATAAGGTGTAATAATGAACGTAAATGAAAGTGGCTGATCATCCTGGGCTAGGGGAATGACATACAAAACAGAACTGTGGTAGAGAAGGAACTGTGGTAAGAGAAGGAAGTGGTAACCACTCCCAGCTGCCATTGACTCGGGGCAGAGGAGAGCAATACCTGGGCCAGCAAACAGCGAAAGATCTGTTGGAGCCACAGTTGAAGAAATGAACTGATGGTCCTGGGCAGTTAGTAATTTTAGAAGCAGAAAGCAAGGCCTGAACACCTTTTCTCAGAACACAACAGTGAATGTAACCTGTGTAGGAAGAAAGAAAAAACCTTTAGGAGGATAGAGATAATTAGGATTGAGATTCCTGCCCTCAGATTCACAATGCAGAGAACACACCACTGATAAATGATGATGCAAAGTGCACAGATCAGAGGACAGAAAAGGGAGATTTCTCTGAAATATGACACCTAAACTAAGACTTAAGGAAAGCTAGTGAAGAAAGGAAAGTCATTTTAGGTAGAGGATATACAAAAACATTGTACAAAAGATGCCAAAATAAAAGTTTGAGCCAGGTGTGGTGGCACGCACCTGTAGTCCCAGCTATTTGGGAGGCTGGGGCACAAGGATCACTTGAGCCCCAGGAGTTTGAGGCTGCAGTGAGCCATGATCAGGCCACAGCACTCCATCCTGGGCAACAGAGTGAGATCCTGTCTCAAAAAAAAAAAAAAAAAAAAGAAAGAAAACAGTAAGGGAGTTTGGCAGTTTAGGTGATGTAAACAAAAACAAAAAAACTGATAAAATTCAACAGCTATTCATGATTTTTAAAAATCTTAGTAAACTGATAAAATTCAACAGCTATTCATGATATTTAAAAATTTCAGTAAATTGCAGAATTTAAAAAAAATTCTGAAATAATCAGATTAAATAAAAGGCATAAAAGTAGGCATTACATTTAATGTTGCATGACTGTCATTTTCCCTTGAAATCACAAATAAGAAAGAGATATCCATCACTACTTCTCAACATTGTATTAGAAGTCTGAGTGTAGTAAGTCAGAAATAAACAAAAGGAAGATAGACTGGAAAGACACAGAACTATCATTACTTGCAGAGGACAACTATGTACATGGAAAATCCAAAAGTGACCTACAGATCAACTATTAGAATCAATTAGTCAATCTAGCAAGGTCACTAATATAAGGTTACTCACTATACCAAAAAAAATTAAATTAAAAAATCATTCTTAAACCAGTAATAAATAGAAAACGTTTTTTAAAAATCTAAAAACTAGGAATAAACCTAACAAAAGACAGGTAAAGACCTCTGCAGAGAAAGCTTAAAAAATATTACTTATTGATAGAAATTACAAAGGAGATAAAATAAAATTTTAAAATGTATTTATAAATGGAGAAAAGTGACAAGTTCCTAACTGGAAGATTCAATACTGTAAAGAGGTCAATATTCCATAAAGTGATCTGTAGATTCAATAAAATCAAATCAGAATCCCCACAGGGTTTTTTTATTCAGTGGGAACTGACAAGTTGATTCTGAAATTTATATGGAAAAACAACATCGCAAGAATAACCAAAGCAATCTTTGAAAGACTTAACACTACTCGATATCAAGACTCCTAACATCATAATAATTAAGACAGTATGGTAATGGCACAAGGACAAATGGGCAAACAGAACAGAGATTACAGAGAAACAGACCCTCACATATACAACCTCTTGATTTATGATGAAGGTGATTGTACACTGGGGGAAAAAAGGTTTTACCAATAAATGGTTCTGAGTCAACCAGATATCCGTATTTTAAAAATAATAAAAATCTCATACCATAATAAATAACCAACTCCAGATACATCTCAATGTGAGAGGTAAAACCAATCTTTTAAATGAAAACACAGGAAAACATTTTTAAAACATTTGGGTCAGAAAAAGTAAGCAAACAGGATTCTAACTTAAAGCAAAAAATTGAAGGCCGGGCACGGTGGCTCACGCTGTAATCCCAATACTTTGGGAGGCCGAGGCAGGCAGATCACCTGAGGTCAGGAATTCGACACCAGCCTGGCCAACACGGTGAAACCCCATCTCTACTAAAAATACAAAAAAAAAAAAAAAAATAGCCAGGCGTGGTGGCAGATGCCTGTAATCCCAGCTACACGGGAGGCTGAGACAGGAGAATCACTTGAACCCAGGAGGCAGAGGTTGCAGTGAGCCAAGATCGCGCCACTGCATTCCAGCCTGGGTGACAACAGTGAGACTCCGTCTCATCTGAAACATTCATCTCCCTTGTCAAACAAAATACCAAAGCAAAGCAGTTAAATTGTGGTTGCAGTCTCCTAGAAGAACACAGCTGAATTGAACCAAGCAAGGACAGAAAAGCCCACCAAAAGGAAGGAGCTTTTGTATTATTTCTATATTTGCATTTTTATAATATTTTTAATCATTAAATTTTGGACTCCCTTGGAGCCTAAAGATATAAGCATCTAGTGTTGACTGAACTCCTTTCAGGGAAACATTTGCCCTTTGAGACTAAACTATGTGTATATGAAAACTTAGGCTTGAGATGTACTGTAACCAAGCTAATAAAGTTTTCAGACCTCAAAATCTACATGCCGAGACTTGGCATTAGGAATATGGGTTTCCAATTGCTGGTAGCATTGATACAGTAGCATCATGGCTACTGAAGAAAGTGGGGGGTTGGTTATTAAAAGATAAGGATCTATCAGGCTCAGAGGCATAAGGGTCTTGATGTTATTTATACCTTGGATAACTGATGATACAACACCGAAGACTATCTTGCAGAATTATGAAATCTATATGTAAGTCAATAATCACTAGTCTCTAGATAATAGTTTAGAATGGTTCACAGGTGATTATACTCATTTCTTCCATAAGATTTTCCTTTTTCCCAGTTACAGAGACTAAGCTAAATCAGATGGAAGCACCCAATTGCTTAGGGCAACTACGCTATTTCCTCAGGGACACACCATCTGTTTGCAATGCACAGCTAATTCTGAGCCTGTTGGTCCTCGCAGAGTTTTCCCTTAAGACTTCTGCCTGATGCCTAAAATCCCTTAAAACTCCTCCCTCCTTTCCCTTCTCCCATGGTAAGGCAAGAGCAGGCTGGATCTGACAAAACTTAAATGATAGATGAGATCTACATAAAATACTTATGTGGCCTTTTTTTTTTTTTTTAAGAATAAAGTGAAGAAACAATTATGATCATGGGGAGAAAGAATGTGAGAGCAGAAAGGCTCAAGTTTATACATGCATCGAAATAAGAGGGAAGAAAACAAAAGGACAATGCACCATGGAAAGAAGGAAAGCAAAATAATGGAAAGGGAGAAAAAAGGAGCATCTCTTCCTAGGAAAGTAATCTACAATGCTGTGTTAATCTGCCAACGCTTTGGTGGGACTGGCAATCAGAAATTGTCTTTCCTCACTGACAAACATGACCAGACTCTGGCCCCTGATTTGTAATTTTTTTCCCAAATGTAAAATGAGACAAAATAACTAAAACTACTTTAACTTGTTTATTTTGATAAAATAATTATATATAATTATTGTTGAAGGAAATCTACAATACACAATCTTGGGTGTTTTTATTTAAATCTATCACACATTGAATAACAAAATTAAAATGTCAGTTTTTCAACTGGAGAAAGTACTCAAATCAACAACCACGTGCTGAACAAAGAGACCCAATTAGAGCACATTATAGTTTGATTTGGAAATGAATACATCAAGCAAAAAATAAAAAACCCATACATATATCGTGTGCTTGCATACAAATGAAAGGGCAGTTGCTGCTTTTCTATCTCTGTATGTCTTTTCAAGTTTAACTCTATCCTCCATGTTCAGTGCTCCCAAATATCTATATTAGTCCTAGTTTCTCGCAGAAAAAGCCATTCGTTTTTGCCTTTTCCCTGGGGACCTATTTGTAATTCAATGCATATTTAAGAATCTTATAATGTAGAAATGTAACAGGATGCCTGAAGAAGGTGTCCTAGAACTATAAATATACACTATTATGTAATCAGTGAGGTTTACACCTAGGAAATCTAGATGGAATGGTTTTCCTGAAGCAAATGAACAAAAATAAGGAGGTTCAGTCTTGGTGGTGAGAACAAGGAAACACTGGAACAGACCTGAAGTAGTACAGCAACTGCAGAAAAAAGGAAAAGTGAATCCTTACAAATCATGAGTGATAAACCCGAATTGTTCACTTTATTTTTCAATGGCCCATGTACAAAGACTTCTATAAAAGCTTCTGCTCAAGAACAGAGAGAAGCTTGTTTTTCCCAATGAAATCAGAATGCTTCTAACCACAGAATGCCCTCATGCTAATGTACGTGCCTATCTTTTCCATGAATACTGGGATTACTGTGAGACCAGTACAGTAGGGCCACACTCTCAGATAAGTGTGGTCTCTCCTAAAGTAATCATTCCGAACGTCCATTACTCAGAAATGAAGCAGTTCTTCAAACAAGAAACCCAAGCAAAGACACTCTGGATCTTACTGACTTGCACCTGTTTGAAGGTAAATGTCTGGCTCTGCCTTTGGTAGCAGTACTCTGATGAAGTGTATCAAATGGAGACACACCAAAAGATAAGGGCATGAGAAAAATGTCTTTGTAAGCCAGACTAAATAGTTTCATGTTGCTCTCTATTCATTATCCTCCAGCTTTTAGCAAAGCTTGATTTAAATGTCCTAGCCTTACATCAGCTGTTCCATTGGCATTAGGGAAAGACTAATGTGTTCATACTTGGATCAGAGACTTAAACTGGAGAAGAAAGATGGAGGCAGCAGCACTAAATTGAACCCTCAATACGTGTTAAAGGGGAAGCCTCAGAACAAGAATCAGATTATTGCCAGATCCAGCAATAACCCCTTACCACTTGGAGATTCTCCCTGTATGACAATCTTGGCATTTGGGGCTCCACTTTATTAAGGAAGGTGGCAGTCTCCTCATGAATTCTCGATAGGCAATGAGATCTATGCAAATTATCAGTCTTCCTTACTTGCCTTGGTTACCAGAAAACTCAGAGCTAAGTATTGTGTTCAACTTCTAAAGCTTTCCTCAGCTAAACTTACGGATAATTGTTCTCTTTTTCTTTCCCTTTTTGACTTACTGATTCTTATCTTTTGTGGTCAGTAGATTTGGTCTTACTGAATTTGCTATTATTTCAAGCTTCCAAAATCCTTTTTTGGAAAATGACCAAAATAAAAGCCAATCAATGGATAAACTAACTTTTCTCGTATAATACAGGAGCAACAAGATACTGCTCATCTTGAAGCCATGAATCCTAGGGATATTTAGACTATATTTGGCTAAAACCAGTAAGCAAGGAAGCTTGGATTATGCCCAAAAGTACAGAATTTTAGAGGAGAAACAGAGCTTAGAGATAAACAAGTCCGACCTCCTACCTAATGTAAGAAATTCCTTCTACAATTTCTCAGACAGAAGGTTATCTAGCCTCTGCCTGAATAGTTCCAGGGTGACAGGGAACATACTACCTTACAATGTTCCATTTTGACAGCTATGGTAGAGAGTCATTCCTTACATTGAGCTGAATTCTGCCTTTCAGTCTACCAATTAATTCTAGTTCTTCATTACACAGACATGTATTTCTTCTTTCAGAAGACATTCTTTCACTTATTTAAATATATAATAATTCCCCTTTATTGAACACCTACTGGTGTCAGGCTATGTACTAAGTGTAAATACTACTGTACACTATCTTCACAACGATCAGGTAAATTAGGAACTATCCTCTTTTGAAAAGTGAGTCACAGATACACTGATTAGACTCTAATTACAGCCAGATATGTTGGTGCTTATATACTACTCCTATAAACAAATATTTCATTAAATTTCTGACAACCAAGTCACATGAATTTAATCTGCCTTCAAAACTGAAAGAAAAACTTAAGTTAGATCAATCCAAATAGAAAAAGAGAGATGGTCTAGGGATACAACTGCACCAGTGTTTGGTTCATTGAGAAAAACAACAGGAAAAGCATTTAAAAGGATAGCCATCAGGGAGCTCCAGGAGATAGTAAAGCTGACACCTGTAACATCAGCAACCATGACCTGAGGCCTAGGCCGCAAGCAGGAAACTTCCTCTCTTTTATCTCAGCCAAGAACCACACTCCCAAAAGATCAAACGCATTACTGCAGAGAAAGCAGCACTGTCTGAAGGTTAATTTCAATACAACCAGAAGATCACAAGTAATTCTGAATATATACATCTTTACTAAGAGAGGTGGGGGAAAAATAGCATGAACCTGCAAAACAGGAAAGAACCATATCCCAGCAAACGGACCAGGACTCCAGATACAAGCTAGGACTTCAGGGTCTAAATAAAAACTCCATTTAAGGTAGCGTTTTAGGACACTAGAATCCTCCTACCCCCAAAAGAGAAAGACAGAGAGAGAGAGAGAGAATATGAGGTGAATGCTAGATGCTAGTAGCCATTTCTTTGCTTAAGGTGCTCTCCCATTTCCAACTAGGTTCCATTTTTTTTTAATCTTTGCTGACTACTGAGCAATTTTATTTGGCTACCTTCACCTCAAACTCAACATGCTTAAACCAGAATTCGTCTCCCCTTAATCCTCGTGCCAAATTACTCATTAAGTTAAAGGCATTATCCAGCCTAAAAAAGCTTGGAGTCATTCTTTTTTCTTTCATGGAGTCACTCTGAATTTCTGTACTCCACCTCTTTACAGCTAAGACCTACTGCCACTCAACAAATATTTACTGAGTGCCTAGGATGCACCAGGCACTTTCCATACACTTGAGATACATTAGTGAACAAAACGAAGACATCCACTTTCACAAAGCATAGAATGATAGGAAGGAGACAATAAACAGTAAATAAGTACATATGATAAGTAAATAAATACAGTATGTTAGAAGGTATTGTTACAGAGAAGGAAAGCACTGTAGGATGATGACAATATTTTAAAAGGTGGCAGGATAAGCCTCACTGAGAAAAAGGTGTCATCTGAGCAAAGACTTGCAGGAGGTGAGGGAGGAAGCCATGCAGGTATGTGAGGGAAGAGCACACAAGCAAGGGAACAGCCACACACAGGCCCTACTACTAATTCCTCTGATTTCTTTGTTTCAAATGTCATACAGTCACCATTTCACCCCGTTCTCAATGCCATCAAACCAACTGGGTAGCCACCCTGATCCATTCCCTCTGCGGCACAATTAGACATTCTTTTTCCACATTAAAACCACTCTCCTGATTTTCAAGGCCCATAATTCTCTGAGCCCACCCTTTACACCATGAACTTCCATTTCTCCTCTTAGAAATCCTGAAACTTAGAATGCTCTTTCTCCACACATGCCATCCTCTCCAGCCAAGAAGTGCCTCCTTTCCACCACACATCCACTCAAAGCCCTATCCTCCTGCAAGGCAGAGAGATCAAGTCCTACCTCCTCTGTAAAGCAGTCCCTGTGGTTGCTAGTACTGAGTCTGTAGTCATATTTCCTCAGCATCAATTTTTTCAAAAGCAAGACTGCCTCTTACTTTTCCTATATTTCTCATCATGTTGATCACTACTAAATATTTGCTAAGAATAGATGAGCTATTTCCTCTGTAAACTGAAGCTCTTTCCTCTGTAAACTGAAGCTGTTTGTCAATTTAAACACTTTTATTAGCTTTCATAAACTGCTGAAATAGAATGATTAAAGAATGGTTTGTTGCTGTTTTTTTGTTTGTTTGTTTTTGTTGAGATGGAGTTTCACTCTGTCGCCCGGGCTGGAGTGCAGTGGCGCAATCTCGGCTCACTGCAAACTCCACCTCCTGAGTTCAAGTGATTCTCCTGCCTCAGCCTCCCAAGCAGCTGGGATTACAGGTGCCTGCCACTACGTCCAGCTAATTTTTTGTTATTTTTAGTAGAGACAGGGTTTCATCATGTTGGCCAGGCTGGTCTCGAACTCCTGACCTCGTGATTCGCCCACTTCGGCCTCCCAAAGTGCTGGGATTACAGGTGTGAGCTACTGTGCCCAGCCCAAGAATGGTTTTTTATACTCAAAAAAAAAAAAAAAAAAAAAAAAAAAAAAGCATGGGTGCAGGATATGCCAAATGTTAATAATGGCTGGTGATGGTTTTTTTCCTTTCTCTAATACAAATTTTCAGTCCTGTGCTTATGTAACTTTTAGAAGAAAAGAATTTGCTATGAATATATGTATAAATCAATACAAATAGTAAGTGATCAACTATCACTGGACTCGTCAGGAAGATTCAAATTACCTAAAAATATAATGTTAAAGAAAGACTGTTAGTATCTGAATGGCCTGCAGTTGCAAAGAAATAGTAAAACTGTAATCAAGGCAATCTGAAGCAAATTCTCATGGTTTGCAAAAAAGGGAAAGGAAACTTTCCTGCTGAAGTGGCTCTAACAATGTATTTACTCTATATGAAAGGAGCATGGACGTACGTGACCCCATCATAAGTAGAGGAGCATTTGTATAGGAAAAGAGTACATACCCTGGAGTGCTTAACTGAAGGCTCCACCTTTCATTAACAGCATAACTTCAGTTTCCTGGTCTATAAAATGGAAACAAAGAGGGTCTTCTTTCATAGATATGAACTAGGTTCCAATCTGAGCAAAATTGTGTCAATTCTGCCTGCCCAGGCAGATGGGGTTTATGGTAATACAAAATCATTTGAGTCTCAGTGGCTGAACTACTGTTAGTCTACATCTGTGCCATTCAAAGCAGTGTCTTTCTTTTATATATATATTTACGATTAGACGATGAAAAAATACTAACACCTTTGGATAATGTTTAGAGTTGAAAAGAATCTTGGGGTAGAGCCGATGTTATCAAAACCTACAGTTATCTTCTGAGCACTGGTCACCTGTATCTGGGAACAAATGGGCTTAAGAGTTTGGAAATTAAGCAGCAAATAAGTAAGAAGTTTTGGTACTCTATACAACTACCATTCAAGGTTGGTTATGAGAACTAAATGATGCCGTATTAGCCATGGTCAAAGAAAAAAAAAGAGAGAAGAGAGAATTAAACGAGACAAGACAGATAGAATATGTAGCATATTCTTGCAACCCTTCAAGAAATTTCAAAGCAACCTGTGTGTATACTTTGCAAGTCAATTTTTTTTAAGTTAGATTAGAAATTGTTCTTTGAGGGAGCAGCTTTATAAAAGACTTGATCTGATCTATAAAATTGGACCATAAAACCAACTGAACTTAGTCCACTAGTATTTAAGAAAGTGATGTCTGAGATGAATAATTACAAGTCTACCAACCAATTTTCTTCATGATGAAGAAGGGTAGCCATAAGAAACTTACCTGGAAAGCAAACAAAACACATAAAATTGGATCTAATTCAGAGTGGTAAACAATTTTAATGTTTATGGAGACTGCCTGGATTTGACATTGAGAAAATTCAGCTAAGAATGGCATTAAATGTAATCCTAAGTATTGGAGTTAGGCTGGGTCAAAACTGACCATAAATTCTGAGAAGACTCCAAAACTTTTCCTCAAGCTAGTTCTATGGGACAAAGCATTAAAAAATCCCTGAGAAATATGCCAGCATCTGCCCTCAATTCCAAAAGCAGGAAGCAAAGATGTGACCCAATCACATGATATCAAACCACAGTCCATCTGTTCAGAGAACTCTGTGTTACGTAAGCCATGACCAAGGAAGAACTGCAAAAGGCAAGAGGTGTGTCGACATTTGCAAGGGGCTCTGTGGTTTGAAGAGACACGTTCTCACATCAGAAGGGCCATCCATAGGATAATGGCATTTTCAAAATTCCATTTATTACACATGAACATATTTGGTGCAATAAAATGACACTACAAGAATGGTGTTGAGTCCCTGTAACTGCTCAACTAAGGCCTAGAACCTTTTGACAGGGGTCTTCCCTACATGAGCGGCCCTCCTCACAGGAACAAGATTTATCTTCCTCTTGATTATTTTTATGTCAATTCCTCTCTTAATTTCAACAACAAAGCGGATCATCTAATATTCTAAACCAAAGCCTTCTAACTACACCCCAATTCAATTAACTGTACTTACTCAAGACCATCTTCCAAACTACTATAGGCCTACTTTTCTCAATCAATAAGTATATACCAGGTCCTTTTATCAGCAATTAAAAAAAAATTGACCTTTTCCTTGAGAACTTTAAGGCTTTAATCATTCCCCCTCCCTTCCACCTTTAGAATTCACTTTTCATAAATTCTGTGAAGTTCAAGGCCTACTTCACTTAAGGAAGTCACTCATCCCTTCGTGGATGCCAACCACCTATCCCAACCCTGTCCCACTCCCACCTCCAAGTCCTTCACATTTTAAAGCACCATATAGGGCACAAGATATGGAATCAGAAAATCAAAGTTCCTGTCTCTGTTCTGCCCCTGTGCCACCCTAAGAAATTCACCTGAGTCGTTTTTTCATCTGTAAATTGAAGTGATAATATACTTAGGACTTCCACCATTTGAATGCCTAGTCCTACTGGGCATCCCATAATGTTATTCTCCCTCACTCATTCCACTTTGATTACTTTTATGTTTTGTTTCCAGCTATGTACTATAGCTTTTAGGATTGGGGAAAAAATGATAGAGGTTAATACATCCAAATTCCACAGTACAGAATAAGGAACCTAACTCTGAAGAGTAACTTGCCAGTCAGTCAGTAAAAGCCTTGTTTCCTCCCTTGGAGTAGGCCCCAGGACAGTTGGGGACACAACTTCAAAAGAACTTTCACACTCATCAAATCCCCCTCTGAATTCTACCCACCCTTCAAAGTCAGTGTAAGTCCTAAAGTGTCCAAGAAGCCTCCCCCAATCATTCCAGCTTACACTAATCATTTCCCTTTTTGAATACTAATGCCTCCCTATAGAAATGATATTAAAAATATTTAACAACTGGCACTACAAGGGTACCAACCAATCAGAAAGGATGTTTAACCAAAACACACATGGCCCAGTGGGAACTGCTTATTGAACATCAGTCCTGCTCTTTAGCAACAACACAGAATAGCAACCTCAAACTCAAATACCACTTTCTCATGTGATCTTCACAATCTCATGAATTAGGCAAAAGTAGGTATTGCCCCATTTTCTGCATAACTGCTGGTGAAGGTAGGACAAATAACCAATTGCTTTCAACACGCCATACAACTTTTCCTGATTATTTATACGGAATTACAAGTTAATATTGCATAAACTGGACTTACATAAAACAGTATAAATATTAAAGGAATGCTCAAATAGAAATCAACAAGCATTTATGTGGAATAGAATATAAAACACAGTGCTAAGTTCTGAGGCCACAAAAGAAAGAAATGGCATGAATCTTGTCCTCTGGGTACCTATAACGCATTCAAGTAGAGTTAAGTAGCAGCACAGGCAGTAGAAATGGACAACACAAACTGTTAAGTGTTGCAGAGTTCTGGAAGACAAAGAATTCAAGAACTAAACCAGCACAGGAAGTCAGGGCTGAGAACTTCTCGCACTCCCAAAAAAAGGGGCAAAACTAAATGTGTAGTGAAAAGGCTGAACAGTCAGGAGTCAGTGAGAAAGAGAAATTGCTCGAAGGTCTGCAGTAATGAGAAATGAGATCCCTGGTAGGATACTCAGAGATGGCCCCAATCATAAGCTGCTAAGTGTTGTTCTAAGTGCTGAATACAAATGGGAAATCTTATAAACCTTCACGGGGAAGGCTGAGGAAGATTAGTTTGGCAGTAGCCATAGAAAAGCCTAGATGAGAAAAACATGGGAAAGCAACTAGATTTGGAGGATAACAGGCAGGATTAAGCTGAAGGCTGCATACCAAGAAAGGAGGAGACATTCAAGAGGCATTCATAGAAGAGTTGGATTGGGGGCACGTTTTCAAAGAAAAAAAGTTATGAAATGGCAGAAAGGAAGCAAATAGCATTCTCAGATGGGATATACATATAGACATAGTGGTACTAAACTGTGCACTAGGGATAAGGAATCAATTTCCCTAGAGAAACCTATGTTGGAGACAGAAGTTGGGCAGAGAACATTAAAACATACTCAGAACATAAAAAGGTGCAAGTCTTTAAAAGGGAAGCCAAGTTACAGAGGAAATAAAAAGCATTTGACCTTTTTCAGAATGTTTTTTAAGGGTGGACTGAGGCATCATCATAACCAACAGGGGAGGCAGACAAGCTGAGGCAGTCTGGGCTTAGAGTAATAAGCACCTGGACAGCTTTGTATTTTGTGCATACCATGGAGACTGTAAACTCCTCCAGGACATGGACTGAGCAATGTTCTGTGTCTTCAACTAAGTCCACTACTGTTACTTGAATACATGAACGCTTCTTGTGCTACTTCTGGTGGAAAAGAGTGCACTGTGTTATTCAAGTTAATAGCGGTGTGGAAATGTTACCTGTGTTTCATGCCTAACTATACTGATTCTCCCAAATGTCCACACAGTTATCCTGCCTTCCTCCCTAGGCCAATGTCAAAAATCCATTGTTTCCTCTAATGCAGGCCCACGTGAAGGGACTCAACAATGTGCTAAGAGTCGGAATGAAGCCTATCTGATACTCAAATCATGAGGACAGAATCCAAAGTGGATAATAAAGACCAATTGCTCATCAGACGACTGAAGAAGAAAAATGGGCTACGCCAGATAGTATGATGTATACATATTTATATATATATATGACATACAGGTTTGGGAAACTGAGATCTGAGTGAAAATCCTAGCTTTAGCACTTAAGTTATTGGGTACTTAACGTGTCTGTACCCCACTTTGCACATCTGTAAAGTGGGGCAAATGCCACTACTCCTGGGAGTTTACTTGTGGTGATTAAATAATGTAATTATACAATAGTGTATGCATTTACATCGTAGTAATGCACAATACATAGACGGTAGCTATTAGGACTGATTATAATCGTCACCGTCAGTCTTGATTTTTTAAAAAAATTTCAACATCTTTTGTCCAGTTTCAGAAACAGAAATGTACTTTCACTGCATTTTAGTTGCTAACACTGAGGCTGTGTATTTTAGCTTCTAGTGTCTCAGTTCAGCTGCTAACGAAGTTTTTCACTCATCCCTTTGTGGATACCAACCACCTACCCCAACCTGATTTACTATTTTGAAAAATCCAGCCAACAGTCTTCCTTGAAAACCAGCTATACAGATGTCTGAATCAAACTATTAACTGTCACTCAAGAAAAGGAACAACGTGAGTGATGTTCCTTCGAGGAAATAAAAAGCGTTTAATCAATTCACAGTCGTTCCCAAAATTTCCAAAACCCGCAGAATGAGCAAACGTTCAAGTTTCCACTATGAAAACAATCCGTAGCCGTCTGGTTACTGGACTCACTTCAACACTCCCCAGACGCACGAAAGAAGAAACATTCCGCGCATCTCCGCGCTTCCTTCTTCTCACACAAAGCCCCCCTGGCTGGAGGAGCAGCCCCTTCCAGCAGGGTCGGCTCGGGTCGAGCCGGGCGGGAGTCAGGGCGGCCTGCGGACCCAGGGGTCTCACCACACGTCGCCCCCGACTCCCACTGGACGAAGCCCTAGAGGCTCGGAGCTCACACCCCGCCCGGGAGCCGCCTTCCACCCCAACCTCAAACCCCGCCCCGGGTTCGGCAGCCTCTGGCACGGACCCTCTTGGGGCGGGGGTCCCCAGAACAAGGTCACGCCGTGCCCAGGGGGCGGCGGCGGGCAGCCACGGCTCTGCCAGTCCCCGCCGGCCTCGCACTCTCCGCCCCTGGCCCTCGCCCACTCACACCCCAGAGGGCAGCCCCGGACCTCGGACGACTCCGCCCGACTCCACCTCCCCGGGGAGTCCCGAGCGGGGCGGCCTCGGGCAGCCGGACACGTCCGCCCGCGCCCGGACACACGCCCCTGCCCCGCCTCCGCTCCCCGCTTGCGGTTCGCCCGGCAGCCGCCGAGCCGCGCGGCGCCACGAGAGCCCGGCCCGGGCCCCGGCGCCGCCACCTGCGCCCCCGGCCCCGCGCCATGTTTGAGAAAGAGCAGGAGCGAGCCAGAGGCCGGGTCCGGCCCGCGCGCCCCGCAGTCGCCCGCCCGCCGCGCCGCCGCTCACCCGTCGCCCCCGGGAGCAGCGCCGCCGCCGCCGCCGCCGCCGCCGCCAGCACGAGGAGGAGCAGCCGGGGACGCGGAGCAGCGACCGCCGCCTCCATGGTCCCGCCGCCACCGCCTGTGGCCCGGCCCGGCCCGGCCGCGCCGCTGCCTCACCCCAGCAAACCTCGCCTCGCCCCACCTCCCTAGCCGCCGCGGCGGCCTCGCTCCGGCCCTTTGTAACTGCTCGGAGGACGCGCGTCCATTGGCTGCCGGGCTCCCGCCGGCCCCGCCTCCCCGCCGCCGCGAGCTGCCAAGCGGGACCCAGCCGGGAGCCCCGCCTGCGGGCCCGCCAGGCAGCCAATCCGCAGCCGCGAGCGCCGGTTTCTGGCCACGCCCCACGCTCCCCGGGGGCTGGGCCGCCAGACCCCAGCCCCGGCCCGATCGGCTCCCGGCTCCGAGAGGCCGCGTGGGGGCGGGGTCTGCCAGCCCCAGCACCGCTCAGCCGCTAGCCCCGGAGGGCCGGGTAGAGCGATGGGTGTGTCTGTGTGAGTCTCTTTCGGAAAAAGGCTGTGGCCGTTCGACGCTCTTTTCTTCTAACCTCCTCTAGGCGCGGAAGATCTGGTACTGCCTCAGCCCCACCCTGACCCCATTCACAGCTCCGCATTGGCAATCCCAGCACATGCCACCCAGATCCGCTGCAGCGCCAGGCCCCTGCATCCACTTCAACTTCCCCTCTCCAAGTCCACGCATCAACTTCAGCATTCCCCCGAAGATCCCTCCTCAGTGCCCTTCACATGCGACTCACTCTCCTATTTCCTCCTGCTCCCAGCGGTCACCCCAAACCCAGCTCCCCCACCCAGTTCCAAACCCAGAAAGTCCTCAGATCCCAGCGTCAGACCCAGATCCTGAGCCCAAACACACCCCCAAATAGCCTCCCGCCTCCCTCCAGCACAGATCCAGGATGGGGATCCAAGCCGCACTCCTCTCAAACCCCTTCCCGATCCAGGTTGGAAAGGGAGGATCCCCACCCCAACCCCTCAAAGGAGGGGTTCCCCCTTCTTAGCACCCAGCTCCCGCGGGGCGGAGGGGGAGCAGTCATCATTACTTTGAGCTGTGTCTGACACTGCTGTATAATAATCCTGAGGTGTCACTAAAAACCCAAATAAACTCTACGTTTTCATTCTGAATTCCTAATTTACTGCGAGACGCTCCACCCACCTTCCCTCTGCGACGCCAAAATGAGCTCCAGATTTGTAATTCTTCCTGTCAGACTAGTCCTTTCTTCAGACACAAACACAGCCAAGGAGGCTGTTACGTAGAACAGAGAATATTTTTCCGCAGAACCTTTTAAGGAGGAAATTTTATTTTCTGTGTCATTTGAGCTTAGAATTAAATAAACCTTGATAGCAGGAATCAGAATGGTTCTGATTAATGCCAATTTGTGCACTACTTTAGAGTCACTGGGTGAGCATTTTCCCCACCTGTGAAGGCTTCCTTCCGGGAGATGAAAAGGGAAAAGGCGTGGATATTGGAGCTGGGATCTGAGACCCGCGCGCTTTCTCCCTCCTGTCTAGGACACTTACTTAAGCAAGTCAGCTAACCTTTCTGAACCTCCAACAGGCTCAGAGGCCTGCAACTTGCTCTACACCGCAGCTCCAGCAGCCTCAGCAGCAAACTCCCCTCTTGCTCAGGCTGAGGGATTCCAGAGAGATGGCTTCTGGCAGGCTCCAGTCCCAATTTGCCCTCTCAGTTCCAGTTTCTTCAATGGAGATTTGGTGGACTTTGTGCCACCTGAGGTCCCTAGACTGCCTTTTTGCTGCTCTATTTGCAATGTCTTTCATAAGATAAGAGCTAATGAGATTTTTATTGTATGAATGAATGAATGATCTCAGAAAGTGACTGTTTTTCTCTGGCCATTAGCTTCTTCATCTCTAAAATGTAAATAATAATAGTACCTACCCCGTTTATAAATAAAAGGGATTGAATCACTTGTCTTGGGCCCCTTAAATGACGTAATGTGTCTGGTACAGTGTCTGGAACATAGTAAATATTTAGCTAATGCCATTTCTTTGCCCATCCCCTTCCAGCTCTGTATGATTCTAATCAGCATGTATGTTCATGTCAGTCTGTGCCTTTGACGTACGGAGCCTAGATTAATCAGTGTTAATCACACCTCCAGTTCCTTAACATTTTCCGTGGAATTCAGTGGATACAATAGGAAGGAAAAACAGACTATTTTTAAGTTGTATCTTCCTGATACTAGGAGGAAATTTCCATGAGCCACAGATCCATAAATAAACTACACTAGAATGGAACACTAAATTATTAGTTTAAAATCATGGTTCCCAAATTGTAAAGTCTCTCCAATTACCTGGAGAGCTTGTAATAATACAGATTCCTGGGTCTCCCTCGGCCCTAGCAAGTCTGCTTCAGTTCATGTGGAGAAGGTTCAGGAATCTGCATTTGTAATAGACATCCCAGGTGATTCTGCTGCAAGTGGCACTGGGCCCGCTTCAAAAGACACTGCTTTACTTAAAATTCAGTAAATAAAAATGCATGACCTTATTTGCCTTTTGAGAAAGGTTGGATGGGCAGTAGAAAGAAGCCTCTGGCTTTGGAGGCCTACAGACCCGACTTGAAATTCTGGCTGCCACTCACTAGATGTGGGTCTGGGAACACTATTTGACTGCTTTGAGATTTAGCATCCCCCAGGGTAAAGGGAGATACTGTTGTGAGGTCTAAATGAGCTATTGCACATTAAGGAATCTGTCATAAATGTTAATTCCCTTCAGTCTTTACAGACTTACTTGTTGTTTAAAATGCTTACATGTTATTTACTCCAATGTCTTAATTTAAAGGGAAGGAAACTGAGGATCAGTTCCCCAGCAAGTCAGCTGCAGAGCTAGGACTAGGAGTCTCACTCCAGTGCCTTGTACCCTGTGTAATGTTGTCTCTTAATCTTTATGCCAAGGACATTGTTTGCTTTTCCTTTTGGATTAGTTCCTTAAGTAAGAGGATTTCTCCAAAATAGAGAGCAGAGACTGCTTGTCATCTAAACTACACCCATTCTTACATTTGCTTTATAATGGAGTCCTGTTTTTCTTTGGGAAAGCAGATCACCTAGAAAAAATATATATGTCAATTTCCCAGGCTCCTTGTACCTAGGTATGGCCATGTGACAAGAGTTCTGGCCAGTGACATGTAAACAGAAATCTACTTTCCACAAGGCGGAGCCTGTACAAAAGATACTTCCTAGTTAAAAAAAGAAGAGACTCATCATATTCTCTCTTTCTCCCTGGAACACAGTTGCAATGCCTGGAGGTACAGCAGCCATTTTGTAAACATAAAGGCGATAGCCAAAACTGAGGACTGTAGAGAGAAAAAATGGAGAGAGTCTAGGTTTTTGATAAATTTCCTGAACAGTTGCACCAGCTCTATAATGCCTATTTCTTATTATATGAGAAAAATTAATCTATTTTTTATTCACTTTGAATAACTGCACCAGCTCCATAATGCTTATTTCTTATTATATGAGAAAAATTAATCTATTTTTATTCACCTTAGAATGCTTCTATTCTGCTCATTTGTCCATCCTATTTATTGTTGCATATTTTATTTCTATCTTATTTTCTAACCTACAAGACATTATTGACTTCTGCCATTATTAGCTATTGCTAATTCTTGGTGCTCCTAACTGAAAAACAAACCACCTCAAAATTTAGTGGCTTAGAATAATAACCATATATCATCTTTCATGAGACTGTAGGACAGTTTTTCAGGTTTAGGCCAATTTATGCTGATTTCCACTGAGCTCACTTATGAGTCGGTTGTCAGGTGGAAGGGGGTGGAAGAGGGTAATGAGCTAGATCAGCTCCTCCATGTGGATTTTCATCCTCCAGCAGGCTAGCCTAGGCTTGATAACATGACATTCATTATCCAAGATAATGAATGAAAGCGTGCAAGAGCCTTGAGTCTAGGTTTAGAACTGGCACCGGCCAGGCATGGTGGCCCATGCCTGTAATCCCAGCGCTTTGGGAGGCCAAGATGGGGCGATGGCTTGAGCCCAGGAGTTTGAGGCCAGCCTGGTTAACATGGCAAAACCACTTATCTACAAAAAATACAAAAATTAGCCAGGCATAGTGGTTCACACCTGTAGTCTCAGCTACTCAGGAAGCTGAGAGGTTGGAGGATCGCTTGAGCCCAGAAAGTCAACGCTGCAGTGAGCCATGATTACACCACTGCACTCCAGCCTGGGTGACAAGAGTGAAACCCTGTCTCAAAAACAAAACAAAACAAAAAAACATCCACTGGCACAACATCACTTCTACCATATCCCATTGGTTTGGGCATGAACTGGGGCTGAGCCCAAATTCAAAGGGTGGGGAAAAAGACTCCATTTTTTTTGATAAAAAGGAACTGCAAAATCACATTGCAAAGAGGCAAGGATATCAAGAGAAAATAAGTGTGTACATGTTTACGAACACTTTTTTTTCCACCCCCATGACTCATACACCTTCTGCTAGGCCCACCTCCAACATTGGAGGTCACATTTCTTTCTTTCTTTCTTTCTTTTTAAATTATACTTTAAGTTCTGGAGTACATGGGCAGAACATGCAGGTTTGTTACATAGGTATACACGTGCTATGGTGGTTTGCTGCATCCATCAACCCATCATCTACATTAGGTATTTCTCCTAATGCTATCCCTCCCCTAGCTCCCCACCCCCGACAGGCCCCTGTGTGTGATGTTCCCCTCCCTGTGTCCCTGTGTTCTCATTGTTCAGGTCCCATTTATGAGTGAGAACATATGATGTTTGGTTTTCTGTTCTTGTGTTAGTTGCTGAGAATGATGGTTTTCAGTGTCATCCATGTCCCTGCAAAGGACATGAACTCATCCTTTTTTATGGCTGCATAGTATTCCATGGTGTATATGTGCCACATTTTCTTTATCCAATCTATCATTGGTGGGCATTTGGGTTGGTTCCAAGTCTTTGCTATTGTGAGCAGTGCCACAATAAACATACAGGTGCATGTGTCTTTATAGTAGAATGATTTATAATCCTTTGGGTATATACCCTATAATGGGATTGCTGGGTCAAATGGTATTTCTAATTCTAGATCCTTGAGGAATCGCCACACACACATTGTGTCTTCCACAATGGTTGAACTAATTTACACTCCCACCAACAGTGTAAAAGCATTCCTTTTTCTCCACATCCTCTCCAGCATCTGTTGTTTCCTGACTTTTTAATGATCGCCATTCTAACTGGCATGAGATGGTATCTCATTGTGGTATCTCACCAGTGATGATAAGCTTTTTTTCACACGTACAAACACTTTTTAACCACTTTCTCTGATCTTCGTTTTTCTTTTTACCTCTCAGACTTTCTACTTCAAATCACTGTTATTATTCCTGAAGTTTATATTTTAAAATTTCTTTTAGTGAGAGTCTACCAGTGGCAAATAATCTTAGTTGTTGTTCGACTGAAAATGTTTTTATTTAACCCTCATTTTTCAACAATGTTTTCACTGAACATAGCATTCTAGGTTGATAATTGTTTTCTCTCCACAATTGAACGTATCATTTCACTGTCTCTGCCTTCCATTGTTGTTTATGTGAAATTAGATGGTAGTCTAATGGTTTCTCCTTTGTAAGTAATCTGTCTTTTTTGTCTTTTTTTTATAAACTTCATTTTTTAGAGCAGTTTTAGGTTCACAGCAAAATTGATGTGAAATTACATAGTTCTCATGTATTCCCTGACTTCACCCACACTCACAGCCTCTCCCACTGTCAATGCCTCCTACCAGAGAGGTACGTTTGTTACAGTCAATGAACCTACGCTGTCACATCATTACCACCCAAAGTCAGTAGTTCACCTTTGTATTCACTGTTATTGTCTATGTGTTTTGATGAATATACAGTGAGAGTATCATGCAGAATATTTTCACTGCCCCACCCTCAATCACAAAGATTTCCTCCTATATGTCCTTCTTCTAGTTATTTTATAGTTTTACCTTCTTCATCTAAGTCTTTAAGCTATCTTGAATTAAATCTTACGTATGACGTGAGGTGTGAATCAAAGTTCAGTTTGTTCTATACTGACATCCAGTTGATCCAGGATAATTCATTAAGATTTGTTAAGAAAATTTCCCCAATGAACTGCATTGGTGACTGTCAAAAACCATTTGTATATTTGTGGATCTATTTATGGACTCTCTTTTTTCCCCATTGGTCTTCGGTTTATTTTAATGCCAACATCACTGACTTGATTACTATACTTTATGGTAAGTCTCAAAATCAGGTAGAACAAGTTCTCCAGCTTCGTTCTTCTTCAATACTGTTTTGCCTATGCTAAGATATTTATAGTTCCAAGTAAATTTTAGTTCTAGTTTGTCAATATCTACAAAAACCCTGCTATGCTTTTTATTGGAATTGCACTGAACTATAAATCAATTTGTGGAGAATTGACATCTTTACAATATGAGTCTTCCCATCCATGAGCATGGTATATTTCTTCATCTATTTCAATCTTTAATTTTTCTCAACAATGTTTTGTAGTTTTTATTGGCAGGGGTCTTTCATAACATTTGTTAAATTTATTTCTAAGTAAGTTTTATCAAGGATTTGCATTTATTTTTGCCACCTGGACCACTACCAGTCTTTTATTACTCTAAATTATTGACTTGAGTTGTGTTGTTGTTGTTCTGTTGCTGTTGTTGTTGTTGTTGTTTGAGAAGGAGTCTCACTGTGTGCCCCTGGTTGGAGTGCAGTGGCACTATCTCAGCACACTGCAACCTCTGCCTCCCGGGTTTAAGCAATTCTCATGTCTCGGCCTCCTGAATAGCTGGGATTACAGTCTTGAGCCACCACGCCCAGCTAATTTTTGTTTGTTTGTTTGTTTCCTTTTTTAGTAGAGATGGGGTTTCACCAGGCTGGTCTTGAACTCCTGACCTGAGGTGATCCACCCGCCTCAGCCTTCCAGACTTGAGTTTTTTAATTTGTTTATTGTTGGAACCATATAGGTAACATGAATTCGGGCTTTAAGCACCATGGGGGACAGAGAGCTTGTGGTTCCGAATTCTCAGTGATGACATTATTTCTCCTTTTCGGCTAGGCAGCTGGGTTTTTACATCCTCCCAGCAGTTGAAGATTAGTAGTTGTTTCTGGTTCACCCTTTCACTGGAAGTGTAAACCTTGGGGGGGGTCTCATCTTTATGGTGGAAGTGTCCAGGGGCCTTGGATGGCCCCTGATCTTGTCTCCCATTTCCTGTGCCCTGTGAGACCAGACAACAGAAGCTCAAGTTCATCTGGTTCAGTAAATGCCATAAGAACAACAGCCAGTTGCAGTGCTCCTGAGTTCTTTCTTTCACTTAGAATTTTGGCCTGAGAGTCTCCTATTTTCTTGCCATCTCATAAATGCATTTAGGAAGATACATTTCCCTGTATTTTTACTTTTTGTCTACGGAAAGGTCAATCAACTAATGACCAGGAACAAAACTAGTACTACCTAACCTCCTCCATTACACAGATGAACTTAAAAATCACTACCAAGTTCTCTGCCATAGCAGAATACAATTGTAACTGGCATAGGTATCAAAGAGGATCGAAACAAAAGCTATTTTGCCAATACAGTACCAGAGAAATTCAACTTCTGGCATTGTCTCTGCAGCTTCTCAAACATTAAAAATATGCTCACAGGCTGTCTATCCCCATCCCCATCTTTCAAGCTGGTCTCCCCAAATGCTTGGGTTACTTTAGGAAAACGTTTTGTTTTATTTTGTTTTGTGTTTTGTATTGTTTTGTTTTCACACAGATTTTTGTTGTGAATGTCTAATTTTAAATACACTATGGATATAGAATTTGACCTGTGGATAAATACTGTTTTTTTTTTTTGGCTTTGGGAAGTGTATTTCTTATTTTAGGATTAATTTTTATAAATGTCCTATGGATACTAGAAAACAGAAGTGGATTCTATTTTTTGTGCACATTAACTTGTGTGTGTTTGTGTATTTAATTTGTGTGTGAATGTGTATGTGTGTGTTTATTTAGTCCTAGTAGCTAATCCTTTTTAATTTTTTGACTGCTTGATCTGCCAAAGACAGAAAGAGGTGCATTAAGCTCTCCCAACTCCCCACTGCTTTACCTGTTTCCCTGGAGACACATCCTCCGGCCTTCAGCACCCTCCCTTCCTCATCAGAGAACTAAAATGGGATTCAGACTTCCTGGACCCTGAGTTAGGGCTGTGGGCCAGCAGGCTTGAGCATCTTCTCTCTTGTCCTGAGAGGCAGTGCCACAGCTACAGGCTGTGGCTCCATTTGCTGCAGTTCTCAGCACTAATCCTGTCCTCAGACACCTGGACATTAAACAGTCTCTGCCTGCCTTCCTGCGACACAGCCTCCACTAGGCTTCTGCCTGTGTCCTACACTTCTGCTGTGATCCCTTGTGTTATCCACAATTCCGCCAAGTTTGGCCCAACCTCCCTCTTACCATTCTCCCTCCAAGATTGGAATCCCAGGCCCAAATTGCGCCCAGTGGGGGAGTTTCTGCTCCATGCAGACCAACCTCCCTCATGTGCTATTCAAGTACCCACTGCCACTCTCTTTTTGTCTGTTAAAACATCGTGCTTTCTTGGTAGAGTTTCAGAGCTGACAGGCTACATGTCCTATGTCAATCTGCCCTTGTCTGCTGCCTGCCTGGCTAGGTGCATGGCTTCACTATTGTCCTCTACTCTTCCTCCCTGTCAGTTGGCCCTATTCAGTTGCATTGTCTCAGGGAGAGCCTGGCTTTTCCCTTGGTCAGTCAGCAAGATTCCCTTGTGGTCAAGACAAAGTGAGGATTTTCAATAGGTTGCCACTACCCCTTCCTCTTGGCTCAAATTTCTGTTTAATCACATGTTCTGAAAAAGTGTAACGAAAGAAAACAAAAACATAAAAACAAGGCCATAAGACATGGGGCACATGGCCATGTGGCCTCTTTGTAGGAGACCTGAACAAGTTTAATTCTACAAACATACACACACACATTCACTTGCACATTTAAAACTATACATCCAAACAACAGCATTCACATTGGATGAGAGAATTCAACAGAAGCACAGCAGTACTGCAGAGAGCTTAATACAACTCTGTTTGGCAACTGAAGCACTAAAAAAGTAAGCAAGAATAACTACCAAGATTAAATGTACACACACATATACACAGCTCTTCACACACAAATTCACATGCGCAAAAAAACAGAATCTTCTTCCTTTTTCCAGTATCCATGGGACACTTACAAAATTGATCATAAATTAAGAAACCTCAAGAAGTCCCTCTGAGGCAGAAAATAAAGGATAAATCCATGGTTCCTAGTGCATTGAAAGTTGGACATTCATAACAAAAGTTCAAGTGAAAACAAAGCAAAACAGAACATTCAAAAACACTAAAAAAATTTCCTGCAGGAACCCAAGCATTTGGAGAAATCAACTGAAAGAGGGGAGAGGAAAGAGAGCCTGTGAGCGTATTTGGTATTTAGAGATGGGGAGATAACGTCAGAAGCTGAATTTCTTTGTACCGTGTTGTCAAATAGCTTTAGTTTGAATCCCTTCCATACCTACAACAATTAAGACTTTATTCTGCTGCAACAAATACCTGACAGTGACTTTTGTCTGTGTAATGGGGAGGGGGAAGGCAGGCAGGGCTGGTGAATAGTGGGCATGCCAGAGGATCCAGGAGCTCTGACAGTTCAGTATCAGAAAAGCACTTAAAGGTGAGCAGGTTCCCTGCTTTCTGCAGCACAGCCTCCCCTCTATCTAAGTCAGGCAAGTACCAGCCTTGCATACATCCTTCCAACTTAATGGTAAGGGCAGAAGATCCCATCTTCATCTAATTATAGAGTCCTGGCCATTGAGACCAGCCTGCCCAACATGGTGGGAAACCTCATCTCCACTAAAAATACAAAAAAAGTCGGGCATCATGGCACACGCCTGTAATCCCAGCTACTCGGGAGGCTGAGACAGGAGAATTGCTCGAACCTGGGAGGCAGAGGTTGCAGTGTGCCGAGATCGCACCACTGCACTCCAGCCTGGGCAGCAGAGTGAGACTCCGCCTCCAAAAAAATAAATAAAATAGAGTCCTGGCCACAAGGCACCGCTAAGAATGCTCTGGGCCAAAGAAGGATGCCAACTATCTCCTGATGGTCTTCTGTGGAGGAAATGGGAGGTCTCAGAGAGCAGTTTCACTGCCTCACCTGGAAAACCCAGGAGAAGAGGGTGAACTGTAGCAGGCTTGAAATTCCCTGCCCTTTAGTTTGAGCATCCTGTGTTCCCAGTTTCATCTGAATATCCCACTTTTTCAGCCAAATCAACAGGATCTGGGCAGCAGTGGTGGCCCCAACCGGCTTGAAAGTTCCCAGTGGACCCAGACAAAGTTTCCTTTTGTGTACCTTCCCCTGAATGCCAAATGGGTTATTAAGGACATAGTTACATCCCGACCCCAATGACAGGAGCTTACATTTGATTTTATTAAACAAGGGTAGTGTATTTGTTCCAAGCTCTGAGGCAAGAGACCTGACTTCCAATGATTCCTGCCACGAGTTTGCTGTGCAATCCTTCCCTGGAGCTGTTTCCTGCTTGTAGACAGTGTGGAGGGAGGTTTGGGAGAATATAGAGAGCTGAAGCTGCCTTCTAAAATTTGTATTTCCTACATCCATCATCAGAGAAGGAACATTGCTTCCTGAAGCCTCAGAATTATTAGGATTCTTAAAAAAATTTTTTTAAATGTATTTTTTAAAATTTCGAGATAAGATGTCTCTCTGTCATCCAGACTGGAGTGCAGTGGCACAGTCACAGCTCACTGCAGCCTCAACCTCCTGTGCTCAAGCCATCCTCCAAGTAAGCCTCCCAAGTAGCTGAATACAGGTGCATGCCACCACATTCAGCTATTTTTTTTTTTATTCTTTGTAGAGATGAGGTTTCACCATGTTGCCCAGGCTGGTCTCAAACCCCTGGGCTCAAGTGATCTGCCCACCTTGGCTTCCCAAAGTGCAGGGATTACAGGTATGAGACATCACACCCAGCCACGGGACTGGAGTAACCCATTCTTTGGGTTGCAAGAGAAAGGAACCTGACTTGAAAGAGGAAAAAAAAATGTTTTGGCTGTCATAACAGAAAAGGACAAGGGTAGATGATGTCACTGGCTATCTCACACTCTCGTCTCCATCTCTCATCCCAGCCTTTCTCTGTGTTGGCCTTGTTCTCTCCTTCAGACATCTTCTTGTGTGCATTACAGAATAGAGGGAAGGGCCAAGGTGCTTCAGGCTCACCTTGAGCTAGGGAACCCAGAGAAAGAGGCCTTTTCTTGCCAGACATTCTTAGACAAAACCCAAGGGATAGACTTGGGTCCAGTTGGGACCAGGCCCCATCCTTTAGGTGAGGGTTTTTCAACAAAGTGTATTGGCCTTTGGAGTAGGACAATTCTTTGTTACAAGACACTGTCTTGGGTGCTGCTGATGTTTGGCACCCTGGCCACTAAATGTCAGACATGCTCCCCAATCTAATAACAACAAAAATAAAACTGCCACCCTGCTTTTCAAGCAGCAGAGGTATGGGGTTCAGTACAGCCTTATGTTGCAAAGCACTGCCTTGTATCAATCACCAAAGCCAGGTCTTGAGGCACTGTGATTGGCTGAACCTGGGTCATCTGTTTTCTACCGTGGTGGAAGTCAGGTTGGACATGACACTGTGTTTGGCAGCCCCACCAGACCCATACGGCGTGGGTGGTTGAGGTGGAGTCATTTTTCAAAGGAACCCTCATTCTCAGAAGGGATGCTACACAAAGACCAGCAGCTGTTGATTGCCCCATCCCAGAGGGGAAAAGTGAGTGCTCCCACTGGGAGAAAGGGATGATCACTCTCCTCTTACCAGCTGTCCTCCATGCCTCAGCCACTCCACATGCCAAATCCTGGAACTCCATCTCAAAACCATACCTCCTTATTGAGGCATTTGAGGCCCTCCTGATCGCTTTTGTTTTTGACCCCTCCATGTGTTCCCTGGTCTATGATCTCCAAGAGGGTTGAGGCCTGCTATGTCTCCAGTGCTCAACACCAGGGGTAGGGTGGCAGGGGGGTCAGCTCAGAAATGCTGGAACAAACGAGAGCCAGAAGGGAGGTTCTGTGGACTCATCACATCCAAGGCAAATGTCATTTTCCATGTGAGCCCATCAGAACTAGGCCATATGGTGTTTCCAGGAAAGACCAGAGAGGCCCAGAGCCCCGGCCATCTCTGCATTCTGAGAAAAGAAGGCGGGGTTTCTTCTTGAAAAGCCCCAGTGTCTTCCTGGCACCACAGCTGAGTTGAGCTGAACCAAGCTGGGGAGGAACGTGGCTGCAGGAGCGGGACTCTGGGAAACAACTCACCCAAGGCAAAAGCAGAGGCCAAGATGAATTTTTAGGAGAGATTTCAGAGAGCCTGGGCATATGCTGAGCACTGCTCAGATGAGGCAGACCATGCCAGCATCTCCAACTCTGCCCCAGAGTCATATACCCAGCCCCTCAAAGTACAGCTCCTGACTCCTCCTTCATGCCCCAGAATGAAACCAGAACCCCTTCCTCATTTCTGGTAAGATAGTGAGACAAGGAGGTACCTTCCAAAGGAACTTCACTGTGAAGCTAAGGGAAATGAAAGAAGAAAATGCTGGGAATCCACCATCCTTATAGAATGTGTGTCTGAGCTCCTGGAAGGTTCTGCTCCACACCTGATCTTAGTGTTCCATTTACAGAGGACTCCATGTTATTTCTGAGGTGGGCTCTTGCCTCTCGATTCTACAGGCCCTGGGGCTGCACTGTTGTCCCTCCCCCAGCCCTTCTACGTAGGGTTAGGTGGGAAGGGCAGGTGCCCCTGGAGGGACTGGACTAAATAAAGCAGGAGATCTTTCCACTGATCCTTTCTTCTTCCTCCGTCAAGCATTGCTAGATCCCCTGCTCTCAGCTCAACTCTTTTTTTTTTCTAGGCGCTTACTGTTTAGTGAGGGAGATGGCTACATACAATTAATTACCTACTCTAGCATTGTATTAATAACTCCAGTATAGCTGATCACCCCGAGCCTTCTCATCATAATGTTTCATCAAAAGAAACAACAGTCTAACTCCTCCCCTCATACACCAAAAAGTCACTTAAGTTTTTATTGAAAATAACATTATTTATTTATTTATTTATTTTTGAGACGGAGTCTCACTCCTTCACCCAGGCTGGAGTGCGGTGGCGAGATCTCAGCTCACTGCAACCTCCGCCTTCCGGGTTCAAGCGATTCTCCTGTCTCAGCCTCCCAACTAGCTGGAACTACAGGCACACGCCACCAGGCCCGGCTAATTTTTGTATTTTTAGTAGAGATAGGGTTTCGCCATATTGGCCAGGCTGGTCCTCGAACTCCTGACCTTAGGTGATCCACCCGCCTCAGCCTCCCAAAGTGCTGGAATTACAGGCGTGAGCCACCATGCCCGGCTGAAAACAACATTTTTAATGATGCCAGGGAATTTACATTTAAACCTTCTTTCAAAATGTGGTTTATGCCACCCATCCTCTTTCCTGTATGCCTTCTTTCCTTCAAGAGGTCATCTGCCCATTAGAAAGTGTATCCAGTTTGCCTTCTCCCTCCACTTCTCCCACTGCCCAGAGCTCCATTGCCAGGGCCCTGGAAGTCTGGCAGGCCAGTGTAGACCAGGTCTTGGTAGACTAACAGAGGGGAACAAGAGGGAACACTGTTTTCATCTGTGTCCACCACACTGCAGCAGGACAAGCGCTGTGGTATCTGTCTTCTCTCTGACCAATTTTTTCTTTATCCACTCCAGGCACTATTGCTCCCCAGGGTCTGCCCCAGCTCTTCTCCCTTTGGCTAGAACCTCTCCCTGGACAGCCTCAAATGTGCCCCTGGCCTTCCCTGGCATGGACGTGCCAATGATTCTCAAATCTGTTTCCTTAGGCATTCAGCCTCCTAAGTGCCCAGTCTTTTCCATGTGTAAACTACTCCTTGAGGGAACCCAGCGCTTGACAAGGACCTGTGGTCACCTACAAAGCTCTCTTTAAGGTAGCAAAACCATGACTTTTATAAGTAGGTTATTAATGGTGTCACTTAAAATTATCCTGTGTCTTATTTGTTTGTTTTTTGGTCTTTTCTTCTCCCTCCCCAGCAGGCTCTGGTCTGAGGGTGGGGTGGGGTGGACAGTGAATAGCTTTTTTGTGTTTCAGACAAGACAGGGCCTCTCCAAAGCACGTCTTTGTAAGATTTCCAGGCCCATCAAAGGATGTGGTTGGATTTCCTGGAAGATGGATCCCTGGATTAATTGGGTCATGTGTCCCTTGACTGTAGCCAGGGAATGACATGTCCTAGTTGGTCTAGGCATTGGATTGCTGACCACCTCTGAACCGATCCTGGTAGCAACTGGGTTGAAATTACGGTAATTGGTTCAGGCTGTTCATGGCCACTCCTACAGCCCATCCAAACCACAGAATTATTCTACCATAGGGAGAGGTGGAATAGGGGGAAGATGAGCAAGCAACCAATGTCCCTGGCAAGGTGCCTCTTGAGGAGTGGCTTAAAAACATTTTTGAACATAATTTATAGAAAGAAATACACTTTACACTGTGATCTGGGACACACACACACACACACATTTTTCACAAAATAACACTTACGCCTTGCTACCTTGCTACTGGGAGCATATTCTGATCTTTTTGTAATCCTGGGTGCTTGATGAGGTAATGCCCAGTTCTATTTCATTTTTTTAAAAATCCTGGTCTGAACCCACTAAGTTGGCTTTACAACTCATTAATGGGTCATGACCTACAGTTTGAAAAATGTCATTCTTAAGACTTGCACAAACCGCTTGCATTGTTGAAATGATTGTTAAAATGTGGCATAAACTCTCCAAGAATTTGACAGGGAAATGTGTAAGGAAATGGAAATTAGGTTAATGGTAGATCATTAAGGGTGAGGGGGTTGGGGGTGCTTGTCACCAGCGACTCAGAAGCAAGGGCCAGAAAGAAAAGATTTTTGAGCTCCACAAGTAAGGCAGTCACTAGGACTTCCCCCTGAATCTATGTGACTTGTGGCTACAAAGTAAAACTGCCTTTGTAAAAATCATGACAGCAAGAGAAGTCTAGCATGGCCAACTCCATCTTGCTTCTAGCCTCACAACCTGGCTGTTCTCACTCATTCCTGGGTACACCCAGGGCAAGCTAACCATGGGAATAATTGATTTCTAGTTTAACTTGGAAACAAAGAATGATAATCCTTCCTCCCTAAAACTAACCTCCTCCTTGCTCAGGGACCAAAGCCACTTTTGTAAAACAAATGAAAGGCCATGAGATTAGGATTATGGGAGGGGCCTGAATTCTGCTAAAATGTAGGTGTAGCTTCTACAATCCCTTACTGCTCAGGAGTCATGAGGCCAGAAGTCACAAGATATGTGACTTCCAAACTTGCTCCTATAGGTAACATCCCTATTGCAGAAACTAAAATTGGTGTTTTGAGATGATTTTTAGACTTTTTCATTCTGGCAACCAACTGATCCCTCCTTGACCTGTGACTCATGAGTAAACTGGTCCTATGGCCCCCACCCAGAGAAGGATTCCATGCATGAGGATTGTTTTTCATTACCCTAGGATTTCAACCCCAACCAATCAGCAGCACCCATTCCCTAGACCCCTGCCCACAAAATTATCCATGAAAACCTTTACTGCAATAATGCACTCTCCATGAACTGGCTTTATCTGTGCAGCAGGCAAGAAGAACCTGTTGAACAATTACAAAAGGACTCCACTGGAGTAGCAGCATGCGTGCATTGTAGCTAGGTGTTCCAAGATGCTGTGTTCCCATGATTTTTTCTCCCCAGAACCCAATGCCAAACTTTGACCAGACTTCTTCAAGCCCTTGGAAATGATGGTGGGAAGTCAGTTGCTTTCTGGTCATGCTAGAGCCCGGCCAGGCCAAGGACCTACTGTATGTAGGACACTGTGTGTGTACATGGAGGGTGTGTGGGGACAGAGGATGGTGGTAAGGATAAATAAACCATTTACCCATTTATTTAAACTTAAGCTACATACACAATTAAATAATATAGATACATTCATATAATAAAGATGAAATTCAGAATAGTGGTTAGAGGTTAAGATATAGGGAAGGGGCACAGAGAAGCCTCGGACAGTACTAGTAAAATTCTATTTCCTAATCTAATTGGTGGATACATGACTAGTTGTTTTGGTATTCAGTAAACATTAAAGATGCATTGTATACACACATATACACATGCACACATTTGTTGGAATGTAGGACAAAAAATATAAGCCATGGACTCTATGTTTAACGAGCTCACAGACTCAAGTGGAAGGTAGACATAATCAGAACGAATATATTGCACAATGAGCTCACATGAAATCTAAAGAGGCGATTCATTCTGAGTTGTTATATTACCTTGGGTAAGTCATTTTCTTTCTTGAAGCCTTGTACTTCTGACACATTATATAGAGAGATACAAAAATGTTATATATGTTAAATATGTATATTATACATAATAGGCACACACGTATATATACATATGTATAACAGATTTATTGTGAGAATTAACTGATATATAATACATGAGAAAATGACAAACCGTGAAGCACTTTGAAAAAATGTGAGATAATATGAACACTTTGGGCAACTTTGCAACTATCTCTTCTGTGACACTGCCATCCCACACAGTTTTGGGCTCAGGTGGCAGTCTGTAGCAGGCAGGTTGTAAGTGACTGTAAACTACTCTTAAGCTAACATATTTTGTGTCTAGCACAATGAGGGATAGAAATAAAGAAGACACTGGCTATTATTGAATAGCTTGCGATTGTCAGAACAGGGACTTGGAGCTTAAGAGACCCATGGGATGGCTCAGCTACGGGGTGTAGGAGTTTGAACCAGTGGGCTATTTGCAGGGGGCGGGGTAGTCATTAATGCTGAGAGGAGAGTACTGTGCTTTACCTTCCCCGAGGGCTCTCTCAGTCCAGTTAGCAGAGTCTCACTGCCATCATCATGCTGGGCCCTAGCAGGCGCTCCCCTCCTAGTGCTCTGGCCTAAGCAGGGACACAAATGCCTCCCCCTAGTTCTCATCAGCCCAAAGGTAAGGAACACTCTGGCTTCCAACGTTGCCAGAGTGGGCTCTCTCTCAAGATCCCCAGACCCCCTCTTCTTGCCCCTCTGCTATATGAGATACCTAATGTCATCCCAGACAGCCAGCACAGCTCTGCAGCCTCCTCACTCAAGGTCCTGATTTCCTGGCCTCATGCCATCTCCATGTGAGAGGTTCTACTGTAAGTTCTTGGGGGCTTGTTCTCAGGAGGAAGGTGAGAATTTGCAATTCAGACTTAGGAGTTCAGGTTCAAGGAACTTGCAGACGCAGTGACTCCTGAAAGTAGTCTCCAAAGATTCTCCCTCTTGGGACAGAATATGTTCCAGAGACTTGGGGGAGATGGAGTCTCAGGTTGGAGTCAGGTAGTATATCAGTCAGAGTCCCAGATGAACAGGTGGCACACTTAAATGGGGTAACTTGAGGTGAGTTTAATAAAGGAATTATTTTTAAAAGGGATGGCAGGGTATGGGGAAACCACAAGAGATAATGCAGAACCCCAAAGGGCTCATCAAAGCATGAGTAACACCAGGTGCTGTTACCTGCCCAGGCCTGAACAGGTAAGTGGACGGAGAGCTACTGATACCAGGAGAGGGAGTCCTGTGATGGGAGGAGCCACTTGGTGGGAGCTGAGGTTTTTAATGGAGGGATGCAGCCAGCCCTTGGAAATCCCACAAAGAGGGAACCGGGCAATAAGCACCTCAACCTCACCCTCGCCTTCTTCTTTTCCACGTCTGGTCAGTTGACTGAACCCAACTGCAACCTGCAGAGTTATAGTCCAGACAGCCCAGGTTGCAAGGCACAGAGCAAGGGGGGTGTGGAGGAGAAAATGGCTCCACACAGCCTTGCTGTGATGAGGAAGGTCCACGGGGATCAGACTTGAGCAGCATAGCCTGACCATCAAGATGGGAAACCGGGAAGGTACCAGAGATGACAAAAACATGGTCAAGTAGTCTCCTCGGTAAGACAAACTTCAGACCATGGAATTCAGAGACCAGAAAGGCCACTGGAAGGCAAAGGTGCTATGAGCAAAGCCATGACCTTGATGTCTGAATCCAGTTGCTCGCAGTGTTTAAACCAAGACAAATTCATATCTTTGTAGAGATATTTTTGGCATGCAAGAATCAAATTCATTTAGCAATTTCACTTGCAGCACCAGGTGGAATTTTCCAATCAACTGCTTTCAAGGACATTTAGAAGCAAATCTATAGCAGACACTCCGTTATTTACTTTATTAAGCATCCTTGAATGAGTTAATGAAAAGATCCTTGTGCAGGGATTTAAAAAACCTCAGTATTAGGTTTTGCACTTCCTCTAACTCACTGGGTCCTTTAAGTCACTCCATTTTCCTCTTTGGATCTCAGTTTCCTTCTGTGTAGTGTGAGAGGGTTGGCTGTGATCTCTTCTGATCCCTTCTGATTCTGGCATGGTAAGATTCTAATGGACGCTGTTCAGAACAAGTCATATTTCAGCACAGCCAACTTGGCGGTCACTACATGATCCCATTTTTTGTAAATTACAATATTGTTTCTTTGAAATCCCTCTTTAAAATTGCTCCATTTCTCTGATGCAGCAAAGAAACAAGAGAAAATAATTGCTTTCCCGTGGACTCATGCCCATGAAAATAAGCCCAAGTGTACTGCTACTAAAAAGAATCCGTCTGCCACACTTCCTATTTATTTGGCTTTGGAGAATTGGACAGAGCAGAACTGAGGGAGGCATGATCCACCACACTGAGTCATCACCTGCAATGGCTTCCCTCTCCAAGAGCCTCCAAGAGCCCAGCGAACAAATGTAGGGCCTGCTCTTACAACCTCCTGCCTCAGTACACTTCTCCACAAAGGAAGAAATGCTCACTTCCTCATTACGATTCCTGCCCACCAACTTCGTCGTTTCTTGTTTAAGTTAGGAAAGAAAACAAAAACAAGCCTTTGAATGCTCGCTCTTTTTTTAGGTCCTGGCATTAAATCTGACTCACCGTAAGAGGGATCTGTTGTCTTTGCCTGAGCAGCTTCTCTCTCCTTTCTTAATGAGGGCAACCATCCTCCCCTTCTTCCCTTAGATATCTGCTCCTCCCCTAGTCCAACCACAGGGTTGATTCTGGTGGGAGTGCCAATCACAGATTCTTAGCACCTGGCCACAAAGACTATCACCTGACCTAGGCGTGACCATCCCCCAGCAACTGAGATTGAATGAGGAAACTGATCAGTTTGAATGAGCTTTGATCAAAGCTGGGATAATCGGCTGGAACTTATGTCCAGTAAAGCATGGGGAGAAGAGAGAACCCCTCTTCTTGCTTTGGCAGAGCTGAGCTACATAACATGAGCCAGGAGATTAAGCCCTGCCCTTGCCAAGATGAAGCCATCTGCAGTCAGATAAAATGAAGCCCAAGCACAAAGAAAAGTTGAGACCAGTTATGGAAGGAAAGGGATGGGAGAAGGGAGGAGAAAGACTTGACAATATTATTTGTTTATCTGGATGCAATGATCCAGATTCCAGACCCATCTGGCTTTTTTTACAAGAGCCATTAACTGTGCTTTATTAGTTAAGCTAATTTTACTTGGATTTTTGTTCCATAACTAAAGAGACCTGAATAATACAGAAACTGATATCTGCAAATGAGGACTTGTAGGTAATGGTCCCTGAAATGTGGAACTGTCTGAGGCAAGGTAGTGAGGAGCTGCTTCAAGAGATCTAAAGTCAAAAGATGTCAAAATGGGTTGACTATTTCTCATGCCCTTTAATGAGGCATGGCCAAAAAGGATGTTTCCATCCAAGCTGGGCTGTTTGAAAGCAGAAGAGGAACAGCAGGCAGATAAAAGAAAGGCTCCTTCTACTTGCAGCAAGATTCCAAGACTGCAGAGAGTTTGATGGTCTTTTTCCTTAAAGAATTGCAAAAGCAAATTCTGTAACTAGGAATAGGGATCCCTGAGGGAGCTGGAGTAAAGAGGGAGCACCTCATCTTGAAGCAACATTGATAGCAACACTGCTTAGGCCTGTGTTCATCACTCAGCTCTCCCTCATCACTCAGAGCATCAAGGCAGCTGAGGCCAGGAAGCTGAGTCCCTGGAGAATGAACACTTCTCTAGGCCTGTGCTGAGGAGCAGAAATCCTTCTAGAATGGTGGCTATTTTACTGCTGCCCTTAGATAACCCCAAGTTCTCTAAGGGGTAGGACCCACAGGAGGGCAGAAAGAACTTGCTCCTCTGGCAGCAAAGTAAGTCTGTACTGTCCCTATCCAGAAGGATGGGACATAGGTTCCTAACTGATGGCAACTGGAATTGCTTCCCCATTTCTCCTTATTTTATTTTATTTTTTGAGAAAGAGTTTTGCTCTTGTTGCCCAGGCTGGAGTGCAATGGCACAATCTCGGCACACTGCAACCTTCACCTCCCAGGTTCAAGCGATTTTCCTGCCTCAGCCTCCCAAGTGGCTGGGATTACAGGCATGCACTACCATGCGCAGCTAATTTTTTGTATTTAGTAGAAACGGGGTTTCACCATGTTGGTCAGGATGGTCTTGAACTCCTGACTTCAAGTGATCCACCAGCCTCAGCCTCCCAAAGTGCTGGGATTACAGGCGTGAGCCACTGCGCCCGGACCATTTCTCCTTTTTAAGTGGAAATCTTGCAAACATATATAGGTGTTCCTCAACATACACTGGGGTTATGTCCTGATAAACCCATTGCCAAGTTGAATATATCATGTCAAAAGTGCATTTAATACCTAACCTAACATAACCTAACATGGCTTAGCCTAGCCTACCTTAAATGTGCTCAGAATGCTTCCATTAGCCTACAGTTGAGCAAAATCATCTAATACAAAGCTTATTTTAGAATAAAGTATTAAATATTTCATGGTGGTTTGCCATTGTGATTGTGTGGCTGACTGAGAGCTGCGCATACTACAGCTGCCCAGCATCACAAGAGAGTATCATACTGCACATCACTAGCCTGAGCAAAGGTCAAAATTCAAAATTTGAAATATATTTTCTACTTAATATGTGTCAGGTCTACACCATCATAAAGTCAAAAATCATAACTTGAACCATCCTAAGTTGGGACCATCTGTATAGCGTGGTTACATGCATCATTTAGTCCTAGGTGGCAAGAGCATGAGTATAGGCTTCTCAATGATTACCTGATCCAACAATTGCTTTTGCATTTATTCAGCACATATTTGTGGGGTACCTACAAGGTGGCAGACACTCTTATAGACCCTGGGGCTGTAATCATAAAGAAAAAAAGCACAACAACTATAAATGAATCTTGCCTTTACGGAGTCATTTTCATCCCAGGAGGGAGCATTGTTCTCCAGGCAGTCGGCCAGCCAGGTCCAAATCCCAGGAATCATTATTTCATAACTGAGACCTTTCAGCAAGGCTCCTCCTCCTAAATTCATCCCAAATCTGCCCACTTCTCACCACATCCACTGTTTCAACCAGCGCCCAGGACATGATCATCTCTCAGCTGAATCACTGCATCAGTTTATTAACTGGTCTACTTGCCTGTAGCATTGTCGCCACAGTCTACTCCACACACAGAACAGTCACAGTGGTCTTTCCAAAACAATGATCAGTTCATACACTATTAACCTAATAGATCTGTGGAGAGCAAAGCTCTAGATCGTTGTATCCATCTCAACAATAAAATGAATGTTAGCCAGAAGAGGTGAATATGCCTTCGTCAGACTCTCTTTGTGTAAGTAGTCAATGTTGGTTTTATTTTTTCTGACAGTGGAAAATGTCATAATGATCCATCCACTTACAGAATTTGCTGCCTTGAAAAAGTAAAATCCGTCCAATTATATAAGCTACATCCAGTAGCTTCTCAGAGCAACCAGACATAAAATCTAAGCCCCTTACCTTAGTCTACAAAAGCCTAGGTATCCGCAGCTGCCTGCCCATCCTCCCTTATTTTTCTGTCTCCTCCCACGCATACTCTTGCTCCAGCTTCTACCAGCGCCCTTCTGCCCCTCAGCCACAGCAAGCTACTTTGCGTTCAAGGCTTTTACTTTTGCTGTTCCTCCTTCTCGGGACCCTCTTCCCCTAGATCTTTGCAAGCTCACCTCCTTTCCATTGTTCAAATGCAGCAGGATGTTTGATGAGGCTTTTCCTGTTTGGGAATTCCAGCTAAAGCCCAGATGTGACAACAAAGAGGCTCTAAGCATGCCACCTTCTCAAGACAGCTGCCTGTCATGGCGCCAGATTCCTCTCCCAGGGCTTATCATGGGAGGTGGCTATCCTTACCAGATCTATCCCTACCAGGCTTCCTGCAGCCCTCCTTCCCAATCTTCATGAGATGCCTGTAAAGGGGTAAGGAGGGGAGTTAGTGTCGGAAGCATCTGTCTTGTGGAAAGTGCAGTGTTTGTGATGAGAAGTGACTCCTCCCTGCTAAGCTAACTATTGGGGAGACTCCAGAGAACCAGGCATAAAGCAGGAGATCCCTAAAAGAAGGGGCAATGGGTATGCTCTTCCCTTCAAGTTGGATATTATTTTCTAATCTGCCCTTGGATTTATCTGATTAAGTAGGAGATAACTGGAATTATTTCAAGTTGAAAATAGGGGCAGAAGGGGAGCTGCCTATACATAGCCCTACAGTTGCCCTGGCTCAGGGAACCTTGAAGAAGGTGGTTGGGCTTGGTCCCATGAATCCTCCAGAGGACTGACCAGCATTTGAATGCCTGCCACAGTGAGGGTATCAGTGGCCAGCATTAGCCAGAGAAGCAGTACCAGCCAACCCAGAAAGAACTGCAGCTGTGGCCAGGTGAGTAAGACTTTTTTCCAGTTTCTTCTCCTTTGGCCCACCTCAAATACACAGGAAGGGCTAGGACTTGAAGAAGGAAGGGGAGTGGATATCTGAGACCCAGATCATACCCTTTTTCCACTTTCTTTTCTAGAAGTCAATGTCCCAGCTCAAGAGTGCTCCATGTGAGGTCAAGAGAAGGGAAAAAAGATTTAAACGGAGTTTGAGATTGAAGCCTTAAAGAAGACTGGACTTTTAATAATCAGAAAGTTATGGAATCCTCCTGTGTCTGCCCTGGACCTGTTTGCCCTCACCCTTTCCCACGCCTGCTATGTACTGGGGCTGGGACCTCATCCCTGCAGGCTGTGCTTCCCCGGGTCAGTTACTTTTGGTTATGTGGCCAAAGGCAGGCACAGGTGAGGGACTGGAAAACAAGAGGAAGGAAGATAATCAAGGTATTCGTTGTCCACTCTCTCTATCTCCAGTGGAGTTTCTGGCCGTGGGTTTTTCCTCTTGTATGACTCTAGGCCTCGCACGGTCCAGCTTTCACCCTTTTTTCATAGTTTCTGGGCTCTGGTCACACATCCTCCTCCATTTGCCCCTCTTCTGACAAAATCTGGGTAGTCTTACTGTCCTCTGTTCAGTTTCTCACCTTTTCCATCATCCATGTAACTAGTTGTCTGCATCAAATTCTGTCTGTTTCAGATACTTTTTTTTCCCCTTATACACAGGGTCTCATTCTGCCACCCAGGCTGGAGTGCAGTGGTGCCATCATAGCTTATTGCAGCCTTGAGCTCCTGTGCTCAAGCAATCCTCCTGTCTGAGCCTCCTGAGCAGCTAGGACTACAGGCATGTGCCTCCACACCCAGTTAATTTAAACAAAAATTTTAAAATTTTTTTATAGAGATGCGGGTCTCACAATGTTGCCCAGACTGGTCTTGAACTCCTGGCTTCAAGCGATCCCCCTCTTCAGCCCCCAACATGCTGGGATTACAGGTGTGAGCTACTGTGCCCAGCCCCATTTCAAATACTGATAGTGCTGTTTGTCTTTTGGATGGACCTTAACTCATATACTTCACCAGAGTCTATAAAGGTCTATGTTCTGAGGGACAATGCTATAGGGATAGCATAGTTGGGATAGCAATGGCAAGAAATCAAATGATTTCATATTTATACCTCAATCAAGACATCTTAATAAACCAATGACAAACATCTCAACCCAACTGTCATCTCTTCAGAAGGGCCTCTTCACGTGAGCAAAGGCAGCACATCCCTCTCCCAATCACATTCCGCTCCATTACCTTTACCTTCTTTTGGCAGTTTTCAGTACCTGAATTCATCTTATCTATTTATTTGTTTGCATGTTTACTATCTATCTCCTCCCGTTGGAGTATAAGATATTTGAGGACAGTTACACGTCCTTTTCTGTACTCTTATGTCCTCAATACATAATTACTAACTGACCAGCATCAGGGTCTGATTGAATGGAACGTATCTCACCCAGCGACCCTTGACTTGCAACTGGATGTGATAGTTGGATGTTGCTTTGGTTGTCAACCCTTAAGGGCGAGGTGACTGCATTGTATTATGTTTGCCTTCTTGGAATTCTATACGTGGAAGAGTCTACGTGGCATTGTCTGTTTTACTCAAAGGGTGGAATGCAATGAGCATCATTTATTTTCACTTTCCTGTTACTATTTCTTTCTTCTGTAGCATTCTCCTTTCTTTCAGGAACTGTTTCTGTCCCACCCATGAAACTATCTAAGAATGCAAAATTTGGGGAGGTGAGCAGATTTTCCATAGTCTTTTTTTTTTTTTTGAGGCGGAGTCTCGCTCTGTCACCCAGGCTGGAGTGCAATGGCGCTATCTCTGCTCACTGCAAGCTCCGCCTCCCAGGTTCACGCCATTCTCCTGCCTCAGCCTCCCGAGTAGCTGGGTCTACAGGCGCCCGCCACCACGTCCAGCTAATTATTTTTTTTTAGTATTTTTAGTAGAGACGGGGTTTCACCGTGTTAGCCAGGATGGTCTCGATCTCCGGACCTCGTGATCCACCCACCTCGGCCTCCCAAAGTGCTGGGATTACAGGCGTGAGCCACCGTGCCCGGCCTCCATAGTCTTTTAAATTTCATTTGTGTTTAGTAAGCAATTCAGACATTTTCTTTATTTTTTTTTGCATTGGTTTTTGTCATTACATTTTCATAGCACATTATCTATTATATCTATATTTTAAAATTCATATTAGTAAACTGTATAAGTCTCCTTTAATTTTTAAAATATCTTCTGTGTCAGTGGTTTCTAGCTTTTTCATTACAGTTTCCTATATGTGTGTTTTTCTCTCTTTTGCCAGAAGTCTGCTTCTCAGACTTGCCAGAGGTTTCCTTATTTTTTGTTTTCAAATAACCAAATTTATCTCTTTTTAAAGTTTATCAGGTTTACTGTGTTTTATACACTTTGGTTAATTCATTTTTGCTTTTTCTCTTGCTGACAGAGGATCAAATATGTTAAAACATGTCATATCTACTGTCGTTGCTCTAACGGGAGCCAAAAAGCAATATAGAACTATGTGGAAGATGGGGCTATGATTGAAACTGATGATGAGGAGTGGGAAGGCTGGACTGCTAAGTGGGATTGTAGTTGTTGCCTCTTGTGTCTGTGTCACACTCATTTAGCCCATCTCTGATTTCATTCATACCTGTGATAGACTGTCTGACTCACCTTCTGCTGCTGGTGCTCTACCTCAATACTCATACCTCTTGTCTTTCTTCATTCTGTGCTAGGGCCTTCTCCTAATGCCAGGAAGCTTTCCAGGCTGGCCCAGCTCAGAAGTGCCGAGGAACTCATACCCTATGGGCAACCCTCAACCAATGCACAATGTTGGCCAATGAACAAATGCTCCATCCTCCTCTCCACTGGGTAGACACTTGTGGGAAATATTCTGCATACTTCTCAGAGGTCCTGGTGGAACTGAGCTCTTGTTGCTGACAATAGTGACCTCACAGTGTGTCTGTTGATGGACTTTTCCTCTTTCTCTGTTTTACTCTCCCTATCTCCTTGCTCCTACTTCCTGGGATCGCCTGCACTAAGTCCTTGTCTCGGGCTCTGCTTTGCGGGACACCAAAACACTCATCACCACAGTCCGGGAAATGTTTGAGGTGAACACAGAATAGAATTAATTGTAGAACTTCTAAGCCGGCTTCTCTCCTGCTTGGGGAGATGTCTTGAAGAAAACTACAGTGCATAGATGAACAGAAAATGCTGTGCTATTTAAGAGCTGTAACACTGAGACCAGGCAGTTTTACTGTGGGCATCTTAAACAAGCGCAGCGCTGTGAGAAGAGGCAAACATTCTTGAACTACAAGAAAGCACTGTGGAATCGATTGGCAGAGAACTGTATCAGTGGCAGCTGACATGGTTTGGGGGACAGGACCACCAGAACATCTCTTCAAGATCACCATGACTTCAGCGGAGTGCCCCAAAACACCAGCTGGGCAGTTACTGCCAATGGAGTGTTGACACCAGGGAAGTGAATCTAGCCACAGGGGACATCCTGGAATTCCCTTCTCCCAGGAGGTACCCACAGATAAACAATGAGCTGAACTAATTCCTGGGCAAATAGAAGCAAGCCTAGAATATTTGAAGGAATAATTTTTGAAGAATATTTGAGAGAGAAGAAGATGACTTTGTGCTAATTTTGTACCTAGGGCATCAGCCCTGTAATTTAAGTTTTAGAAGAAACACAAACCTGTTTTATCATCACAGTTGGGTAAAGTCTGGAATGTATTTTACAACCACGTTATTGACAATTATTCGGCTCAACATTTCCGAAAATTCAGTCAGTTGTCTATCACCTACACTACAATGTATCATTTGTACTATTACTTACCTAATACTTTCCTTTCAACCAGCCCACTTTTTAAAACTTAAATACTTACTTTATATTAAATACAAATAAATATGAAATTATGGATTTAGTATCTACCTATATTTTCCTAACAACTATTGAAATAAATATATAACTGTTACAGTAAAAACCATCTCAATCCATATGTGGTAAAAATACTACACGTTGGGAAAATTGATTTGGATATAACCGTAAGTGATCTTGACTTTGTTTCTCATTAGATTTCTATCATCACATCCTCTGCTTTGTGAAATACTAATTCCTGGTTAATTTCCATTTGGTTATAATCCTTCCACAAAGTCTGTTTTTCAGAAAAGGCACCTGGATGCTATAATTTTGAGTTTTGACACTTCTGAAAATGTCTCTCTTTGTTCCCATACATGAAAGTTTGGTTGGCTGTGAAATTTTAATATAATTCTTAATCCACGGGATTATTTATACTTTACCCCATTGTCTTCTAATTTTCAATATTGCAAATAAGAACTCCAATGCCAATCTGAATTGCTCTCTATATAGAAGTGTGTAGGATTTTACATCGTTACTGAAATGCATAAACTTTACCAGAAATGTACACAGGTGGATATTTTGCAACAATTCTGCCCAGGACTCAGTGAATCATTTCAATCTACAGATTATGCTCCTTCTTTAGCTCAGGAAATTTTCTTTCATTTATTTATTTATTTATTTATATTTATATTTTGATGGGGATAGTGTCTCATTATGTTGCTCCGCTGGTCTTGAACTTCCAGGCTTAAGAGATCCTCCTGCCTCAGCCTCCCAAGTAGCTGGGACTACAGGCTCCAGCCACCGCACCAAACTTCTTTTGTTCACTGGTACTTCTCTTCCATCTAATATTCTCTTTTATTCTGTGACTCCTGTTATATAAATATTGAAACATTATGTCTATCTCCTTCCCTCATCTTTTATTTCATGAATTTATCTTTTTGTCTGTGTCCTTTGAGCAATTATATTAATTCTTTTGATCTAACAATTCATTAAATCAGGTTTCAGTAGCATATATGCTGTAGTTCTATTTTATTCTGGTGATACAGTCGTTCTTTTATTTTCAAGGACTGTTTCTTATTCTCCCAGTATTTCATTTCATGCTTCTTTTACTCTCTGAAATTTTACTGAGAATACCAATTTGCTTTCTTTTCCTTGTTTCCAGTGGAGTTGGATGAAAATACAAATTTGAATCTTTAAAAGTTATCTCCTGTTTTCTGTAATCATTCTTTCGAAACAGAAGCCATTGGCTCTGATTAACTGTTGATTCCCTTTTGGAGGCTGCTAGATCTCCTCAAATGATTAATTGGTGTTTGTTGTTCTGTACTGATGTTCATAAATATGAAAGCCCACATTGAAAGGACTGATAGGTCTTCTGGGTGCTGTCAGCAACTGCACAAGTCTCTATGAGCTTCCCCCCAGCCTTTTCCCAGCTTATTTCTGTTTCAGCCTCTACTGGCACTTTCCTGTGGCTATCAGCCTCAGGAGGGACTCGAAGACAGGCCCTGCCTTTGCTGCTGTGGTTATAGGATAGCCAATCATAGCAGGTTTCTATCTTCCAGAAAGTCCTCAAAGTTTCTGCCAGGTTGAGATAGTTCTTCCTTTTTTAACAAGGGGTTGCAGGTCTTTTTTTGTTTGTTTTTTGTTTTTTCTCTGTTGTTTTTATCATTTCAGTAAGGTTTGAGGAAAGTATTGTAAGCTCAAAGTGTTATCTTGAAGTAAACCTTGTGTGACTTCCTGCTAGATTGGGCCTGATACTGCAGTCTCTGGGGTGCCCCGCCCATAAACCCCCAAGTTCCCACTGCCAGCATCCACGTGTCTGCCTGAGAGCATTCTGTGGCAGCTGAGCCCACTCTGTCGTGTGCAGCAGGCCAGAAGTACTGGAATCTCATCCAGTGCCTCGCCCTCCTGTTTTTCAAAGACTGAGAGGGGTTGGTGTATGAAGACCATAACATCCTTGTCCCTTTGGTTGGAAACTCTGAGGTGCCAGACTGCACGGGCTCCCAGAACCCTTAAGAGGACAGTGTGATCTAGTCACTCACAGTGAGAACTAGATGCACCCTTTAAAATCTTCCTTCCCATCCCTGTCTCATTTCTCTGCTCTCTTACCTTGTTTCTTGGGATCGCCTTGCAGAGAAATTAATGAATCCTCCTCTAAAGGGAAACTCAAATCAAAACACTAAGTATGACAGGCTTTCTAGAAAGCTCTCTCCCCTGGTGTGGAGAATGAACTGGAGGAGATGGAACTGTAGAGGCCAGGAGATGTGAGCAACAGTCCTAGGGAAGATAAGAAAAGAGCCAGCACCACATTGCCTCAAGGGAAGACCACCACGTGCAACGCTTTGAAAGGCCGAGGCAGGAGAATTTTGTGAGGCCAGGAGTTCAAGACCAGCCTGAGCAACATTGCAAGACCTTGTCTCTACAAACATATATATGTACTAAACATACATATATTAGTACATATGCATATATATATATATGTATATGTACTAAAAATTAGCCAGGCCTGGTGGCACACACCTGTAGTCCTAGCTACTCAGGAGGCTGAGGTGGGAGAATCACTTGAGCCCAGGAATTAAGGCTGCAATGAGCCATGATCACACCACTGTATTCTACCCTGGGTTAAAGAGTGAGATCCTGTCTCAAAAAAAAAAAAAAAAAAAAATCAAAGTAGTCATCATAAAAATATCCCAACTCTGCAGAGCTTCCTAGCACTTATTTTATGGTTTATTGTTGTTATTTTTATTACTAAGGAGACACTTAGTCAATATCGTTGAATAAATAAAAGATTCCTAGGCTCCTGGCTGGATGGTGGAGCCACTCACTAAGAGAAGGACCAGAGGAAAAGGCACAAGTTTGGAAGGAGAGGAGAGGGAGGCAATTTCCTCCCACAAACATATCAGATAACAGGGTGCTCTGGGTCCTTCTTGGAACTCAGGGCCCCCAGCAGGCTCATGCAGGGGGATGATGAGATGACTAAACAGTCGCTGTGGCATGTGTGCCTGTCTATCAGAAGGAATTCAGCCCTCTTGTCAGCAGCCGCTAATGAGCCAGATGATAACATTTTACTTGTTGGATTATGAAGGGCAGGAGCAGAGGGCCAGGATAGTCCAGACATTCGGGGTCGTGGGACAACGGATATTTACCAACAGCAGGCAGAGCTGTACTGCTATGTATACATTGAGTCCCAGCCCTGTGCCTGAAGACAGGCAGAGAAGCCAGGCAGATTGGAAGACACCAGCTAGGATGGTTGAAGGAGAGACCTTCCCCCAGCTCCTACTGAGAGACAACTGGAACAGGCCAAAGATAGCAAACACTGATTGGACGCTTACACGGGGCCAGAATGCTGTTCCCAGTGCTTCCTGTAAATTAACTGAAAGGAGAGTAGTTTCCATGAATGTCCCCCTTTTACAGATGAAGAAACTGAGCTGCAGGGAAGGACTGAGTGTGGAGGACTATTTTCAGTAACTTGGAGTTTTTCAGTAGCTTGGCTATGATTACATGGTTAGTAGGTGGCAGGACCAAAATTCAGACACAGACCAAGGCATCTCTCTATTTACCGGCCCTATAAATTGGAGTACAAGATGGAAAGCAAAAGGAGAAAATCAGTTAGTGGCTATCAAAGAGGTTTGAGGAGGCTCAGTGGTGTTTTGATGGACCAGGAGCTCAAGGGGTAACCAGAAAAGTACTTCTCCAGCTGTTAGGATAGACAAGGACTGCATGCATGTGCTTGTCCCCCACTGGTAGGGTTTCTGAGGAGGTGGAGAGCAGGTGGCAGGAAATATACAGGAGATTTGAAACAGTCTGTGGCATTAGAATGGACTTAGTAGATTTGAAAAGTGGGGGCATCATTTATCTTTGTACTCCCAAGTCCAAACATGATCCTGGGTACAAATTATTATTCAAGAAATATTTCTGAATGAGTGCACAAATAAACAAAAAACCTGCTTGATCTTTCTCAAACATGGATCCAATACCATCTCTTACCTCATTTAAATATTCCCAAGGTGCCCTACCAGTTGTGAAGCAGCAACATTGTCTCGGAGTTTGTCATCTTGCACCAAGAAGTTTAAGGACAGGGACACATGTGAGTGGGTCAAAGAACGGAAAGTTTAATAGGCAATAGGAAGGTGAGAGGAGAGCAGCCTTCCCTCTCATGAGGAAGAGGTGACTGAAACGGAAAACCTGCAGCAGATTTTATATGCATGCAGGCTTGAGGAGGCGGTGTCTGACTTAAGTAGGGCCCACAGATTGGTTTGACCAGATGCGACGTTTACATAGCACTTGGGGAAGGCTGGTCACCCCACCCTAATCTTATTCTGCAAATGGGCCTTCCACTTGGCCAGCGCCATCTTGTCTGCTCCTTACTGTACACGTGGCTGGCAAAGAGAAGGGAACATGGAGCCATCATTTTGATCATGCCTAGTCCCAGGTAGCCTTCTCCTATTGACACAAGTGCCAGCATTCACCTGTGCAAGCTTCCAGCTTGCTTGTCTATGTCTGCAGCTCAATTTTACAGGCTGCTCTTTGTTAGAAAAGAACATGATTGCCTGGGTGTGGTGGCTCACACCTGTAATCCCAACACTTTGGGAGGCCAAGGCGGGCGGATCATGAGGTCAGGAGATCGAGACCATCCTGGCCAACATGATGAAACCCTGTCTCTACTAAAAATACAAAAATTACCTGGGCATGGTGGCATGCTCCTGTAGTCCCAGCCACTCAGGAGGCTGAGGCAGGAGAATCGCTTGAACCTGGGAGGCGGAGGTTGCAGTGAGCTGAGATTGTGCCACTGCACTCCAGCCTGGTGACAGAGTGAGACTCCATCTCAAAAAAAAAAAAAAAAGAAGAAGAAGAAGAAGAGAAAGAACTTGATTTTGGGGCTGCTTTTCATTAAAAGGAAAACCTTACTGAGGATTCCTGTACCCTCACTATCTGCCTAAGTACTTTCTTCTTAACTACTACGTCAGTTGCAGGATAAAGTCTAAATGCCTCATCCTGGATTTCAAGGCCAGCATGATCTCACCTCTGTCTATTATTTCACTGCAACGTCCCCCACACTTGATCTTCCCTGCTGCTGTGTGTGGTAGAATCTATTTTGTTGGCCCTGTCAACCTTCTATCCCTCATTTTCAGGTCATTGCAAATCCCCATGCATTTTGGATGGAGGAATTATTCCTTCTGCCCAACTCATTTCTGGGGTGGGGGCTGCCAAACACAGTCATGGGCCTGTGATACAGTTGGAACCAATCAGAGTCCTTTCCAGGAATTCGTATCATCCCAGTGGGAGAGGAAGTCTTCTCTTTCCTCTGGAGCCACTCTCTGGGGTGGTGGAATAACATAAGCCTAGAGCTGTTTGCAGACATCTCTGCCGCATGAATCTTGTCCTCACTTGGATGGAAGGAGCCATATTCACAGAAAAAGAGAAGCAAGACAGATAGACATAGTCTTACACACACACACACACACACACACACACACACACACACACATACACACACCGAGAGAGAGAACAGAGTGAGTGACCACATTGTCATGCCACGTTGCTTGAGTCTCTGCATCCCCGTCCTACCTGGTTTCATGAGCCAATACATTTCTTTAAAAAAAACAAACAAACAAAAAAACTTGTGAATTTGAGTTGTGTTCCCTTTATGGACTAATAGAAAGTGTCTTGACTGCTATTCAGCTGTACTGGATTGCTGATGGTTCCCAGAATTCCACGCTGTCTCTGACTTACACCCTTTACAGGTTCAAGAGACACCATGCTAGCCACATGAAGTCCAGGAGGAGACGGGAAATGCAAGGATGGCTCCTGCAGCCCATTCTCCTTGTTCCCTGGGTTTTTCTTCGGTCTACTCTATGTGGCCACGTCCAGGTTGCCAGGGGGATTCTCCTGGACCACCTCCTTCATGCTCTCCCCACATACCTGCTCAGACCCTCTGCTCCTGTGCACCCTCCAGAGTCTGCCACCTTATGGAGCCTGGCCCCTGACATGGGCTGGCAGCTGTTTCTATCCCTCTGGTTCTGTTGCTGGGTAGGGGCTTTGGCTGCTGCAGGCTTCAGACCCTGAGGGTGTGCAGTATGGACTCACAGCAAGTCTCCAAAAGACCTCTAGCACGATAAAGATGAATTACTCGTGACAATTCTTCCCTCCCTTATCATGCCTGAGACTGTTAATTGGCTCAGCATTCAGGCACATTTGAGACATCCAGGCATGGGATAGAGTGAAGGCTTAGAGGCCCTTCCGCCATTGTGTTTCAACTGTGTAACAAGACTCGGATGCTACACATGTCAGGTGTTCAGAGGAGGAAGTATGAGGAAAGGCAGGCAGGTTTGGGAGCTGGGGGATATCACAGATGTGCTGGCCGTTGGCAGAAGGGCCAGGCTAGGCCCGGAGTGTTTAAGGCTTTCCTGAGATGGGGTGGGGCTCCGATGACACAGCCTGCAGAGGAGCCTCTGTGGCTTGTCTGAGTGACCTTGAGGATACCAGGGTGACGGTTTTCAACATGTGACGGGAAAGCTTGGGCAAGGGCTGGTGTTTAGTGAATGTCAGGTCCAGGATTTTGACACTCATTCTCCAAGTCTAAATGGGGCTGGGGCTGACTCAGGGCCTCCTTCTGGGTCAGCCGGTTATACCTCCTCTGGTGCATGGAGAGGCCTGAATGGCAATGCCATAAGCCTCAATACTCTTTCCAGGGTTAGCAAATGAGGTCTCCCTGACTTTGGGCTCCTCCCCAAAACCCCAACTCACATTGCCTCTTCTGTAACTCTGGGCCAGGTGGGCTGTGACAGAAATGGACGGTGTCTGCGCTTCGTGGCCTTGGTAGCCTCCTGCCCGCCTTCCCCTTGCAGTTCCTGTCCATACCAAGCACCCCCAGCCCTCATCACTCAACGGATGGGCTGGTCCTCAAAAACCACCTCTCGGGCTTTCCAGCCTCAAACAGTCTTCATTCTGTGACTCATTAGGAAGATTCTCACCACTCATGTATTTATGCAGCCCCTACATGGAGATTCTGGGCTGCCTTTTTTTCTTTGTTTTTCCTCTTTGATTTCCTTCCTACTTCAAGGATTCTGAGGGCGGATTCACTTTGCTGAGCTTCTGGGCCAGCCCAGCTGAATGGGAGGAAATATCCCAGCATACTTCTTGCCTGGTGATTATGTTTCTCCTAGAGGGTCAGACCAAGAGCCAGAGAATCACATGCTTGCAGCTGGGAGGGAGCAGAGAGGCAGGCTTGCATAGGGGTTCCTTGGGAAGATCATAGGCCCCGACGTGAGGCAGACCCTGAGTCTGAAACCAGCCCTGCCATTCACCAGTGTATGATCTGGAACAAGTAACTCCCTGAGCTTTGACTTTTTTTTTTTTTTTGCATTGTAAAGTAGAGATTAAAAAACTACTTTGCAGGGTTATTATGAAAATGAAATGGGATATATCAGAAGTCTGATATTTAATGACTGGTAGCCAATACTATGCTTGTCTTATCCCAATCTCCTTGAGAGACAGAGGCCGACTTGCCCAAAGTCATGCCCTGAGACGGTGGCAGAATCACAGCTCATCCTGTTTCCCACTCTGAGGCTCTACACAACCTACACTGGCCCCACTAGGTGGAAGACAACAGCCAGGGCAGATGAGCATGATGGGAAAACGTTTCAGTTCTCTGATCATCGCCTGGGGGCAGCACAAGTGGCAGGATTAGCAAACCCACCCCAGGTCTGCTTCCACATCAGTGATGGAGAATAAAGGAACTAGCGGGAAAAAGTCAAATGAAGAAAGCACCCGGAAAAGATGTTTTTATGTTCACTTACATGGAAAAAAAATCCAATTATACAACATGTAGATATATGTTTCTCAGAAAATTCATCTCTATGAACCTGTTTGTTTCAGTCGCAGTTATAATTCAACAATTGCCAAATGGAAGTCATAAAATTGTGGGGTGGGGGTTGGGGAGGAGAGCCGCCAAGGGGAAGGTAGTAATTATGTGCTATTTCTTTTCTAGTTTCAGATTATTTGGAGTTTCAACTTTTCCAGCAAGTCAGAGTTACATAAACAGACACCATACTAAAATATGATTGTGTAAAAATATAAAATTCCTAAAGCATGATGGCAATAATATTTTAGGGAAAAAAACATTAGAGTCTGATAGCATCAGAAAATACAAATAGGATCATTTGAGCAGTCCTGTTTCTGTGTACGAACAGCAGTTGCAAATGATGGATGTACGTGAAAGAAAAAAGCATTTGATCTGTATATAACTTAGAAAGGGTAACATTTCTAAACACTGACTTTATAAGAAAACATGAAGGACATCTTACACTCAACAACAATGGTTTAAAAGGAGGATATAACTGTCTGAAGGATGCAGTGGCAGAATGCCATGGCCTTTGTTTTCAACTTGCTCTTAACCTATGTTGGGATGCGTTCACACTGCTGGGGTTTCCTGCAGAATCTAGCACCAATATATGGATCAGATTTTGTCTTTGATCTGAGTCCTCTATGTCTTCAGTTTTGAGTGTATTGAGGTATGTTTTCTTTGGTTGCTGTTGTAAAGAATATGTAGTAAAAAAAAAAAACTGTAATATTTACAACAATTAAACATTTTAGATTTCAGTGTCAACTCTTCACATAAGAAAAAATTGAAAACTCTTTAAGAATCATCAGAAGGCCATTACTTCCTAGCGTCTGTCATGAAACTGTTTTCGATACATAGGACAATTAGCCGATTAGCACAGCTGTATGCTTTCTGGTCCAGAATCTTCCCCGTGCTCAGCGGGGAGGCAAGTCCCGTGACCGCTGTGTCCGCGGTTCGCCATGCTTCACAGTAGTTATCCACAAGGCGGACGCCATGGGGGCTGGAGCCATGCCAAATGACTTTCTGGGGCCTATAAAGTAATTTTGTCATGTTATTTTTCAAAATGACACTTCTTTGTGGTATTTTTTGGTAAGCAAATTGGCATAAGTCTAATGAATCAAGTTAAACTCCTTAACCCTGATGCCAAATCACTTCTCTATCCTCATTGCCCTTGCTAGCTTTCTTAACACACTAGATTGCAGCCACACCCAGCTTGCAGTTGTTTTCAAATCACACCCTCTTCTTTTGTGAATCTAAACCTTTGCTCATGGGGTCCCTTGGTCTGGAGGGCTTCTCTTTCATTTTCAGACCAGTGACTCCTTCTCATCTTTCAAAGGCCAATAAACAACTTCCTCTTGCAGGAAGCCATCTCTGATTCTCACCCCTAAGTAAAAATGAAAACAAACATATCCTGTATATCCTATGGTACCTGTTTCTCCACTTACAATTACAATATTCTGTCTAGAGTCACAGTTAGTGTGTGTCTATTTCCTCTGTAGACTGTGAGCCCTGTAAAAGTAGGAGCTGTGTGGGTTTATTATTGTGCCTTCCAGGCCTGGCCTCAGGCCTCGTATAGAGTAGGCAGTGAGGAGAGGTTTGCTGAGTTGTTCTATTCTGAAAAACTCACATAATTTTCAAGATTTAGAGTGCAAATCACAGTGTAGAGTTACAGGATCCCCAGGAGTTGCATTGCTTACCACTTATTATGTGCCCACTGCGTGCTATATGTTTTCACATATATTCATTTTATTCTCACAATTCTATGACATAGATGTGGTTATGTTGCCCATTTGACAGGTAAGGCAGCTGAGGCTCAGAGAATGGAAATGTCTTGCCCAGGATTCCATATTGAGTTACTGGACCTGGGTCTTCTGACTCCAAGGACAAGGCTTTCTCTGAGGCCCTCAGTTGCCTCACTGTGGCTTTATGTTGGCAATATCCTAGAGAAGCAGCTGATAAAGGCATCCCATTGTTAGGATGCCCCCTAAAACTATCTATCACACCATATCTGAGAACTTCCACCCTCACTTACCAAGAAGGATCTGTCATTATGTCTCGACCATCAAAGGAGTATATTGGAATATGCATATTGAACTGACCTCCGTGGCCAGAAAAAATTGAGTCCCAATTATTAAAAAGTACTTGGCCCTATAGAGACAAAATACCACATTAGAATCATTATACCATCAGCCTACAAATGAGTTAGATTTTTACTCTTTTTTTTTTTTTTTTTTTGACACAGTTTCGCTTTTGTCATCCAGCCAGGCTGGAGTGCAATGGTGGGATCTTGGCTCACTGCAACCTCCACCTCCCAGGTTCAAGTGATTCTCCTGCCTCAGCCTCCCGAGTAGCTGGGATTACAGGCATGCACCACCATACCCGGCTAATTTTGTATTTTTAGTAGAGGCAGGGTTTCTTCATGTTGGTCAGGCTGGTCTCGAACTCCTGACCTCAGGTGATCCACCCACCTCGGCCTCCCAAAGTGCTGGGAATACAGGCATGCACCACCACACTTGGCCGATTTTTACTCGCTCTTCAAGGCCCAGATGCCACCTCACATTAGAGTCTCCAGCCCCAATCCTAGAGCCTGGACAGAGTGAAAACTCAAGAAATGTTTGTGGTTTGATTTTATAATCCATCCATGAACGCTTTTGCTTTTACTGTCTTATTTCTTGAGGGAATTTCTCTTATTAGAAGTGTATACAAGCCTCCTTCCAATCAAAATTGTGTTTTATGTCTTTATTTTATTATTGTTATTTTGAAAATATTATGCATACATACTAAGCTTCAAATTTGTGGCAGGCCTTGTGCCAGTCTACACTGTGGGTGAGATGGAGATGAACTTTTTAGTCCTTTTCCTGAAACAGCCTGGTCCCTTGTAGAGAGATCCAAGAATAAAAATAATTTCAGTGGGTGAAGGTGCTGGAACAGAATTCTGGGAGAGGAGGTGGAAAGTGCTGGGTATGGGGTTAGGATGGAACTTGCTAGCCTCAAGGTTTTAAATTGGAGTACTGGGGTTGCAGAGACTAAAGGGTCTTGAAGTACCTTTAAGAAACAGTCATCAGGACCCAGAGCTTCTCCACGGTGTATGTGAGTGGCAACGAGGTTTCTCTGCATAGCCTTGAAAGAGTCTGCTATTTCTATGGAATAATCGAGGGATCCTACAAGGCCCTGTCTTACCCACAAATGGGGCAGAGAAATATCTGCTTAAATGGGCACAGAACACCAAAACAGGGTTCAGGACAAAGTGCCCTAGTTTGCAGTGATTTTAAGCAAACTGGTTTCTTCTTCTGAGCCTCAGTTTTCTCATCTGACAAACTAAAAAATGAATAACTCTCATGTTTATTAGAAGTCCCTATTAAGATAATGAGGTACTTTGTAAACAAACAAGAAAACCCTGTATCAATGAAAGAAGTTATCACTATCTCTCCTCCTGCATGCTCCAAGGGTCACACAAGCATAAAGAAAACTGAGGTTCAGGGAAGGCAAAGAACCCACCCAAAGTGACATAGCCAGTAAGGGAGAGAGCAGGCTTAAGTCAACAGTCTTCTGTTGATGTCAGGAATGAAAACTGCCTCCAGGCCCTGTAGCGACCAATGCATGCAGAAGGCAATGGGAACCATATTTATTTTTACCTTGAGGTTCACTATGGGAAGGCTGTATCTCTCTGCTTTCCTCACAATGGTGGACAGATCTTGCAAATGGGAAGATAAGAATGCTCGGTAGGTGGACAACAGTCCTGCAGCTCTGGCCTGCTTGAAGCACTGAAAATCAGCTCGAATGTCCCCAGAAAATGGCATGTTCAGAGCAGCCAAATGCAGCTGAAAAATGTGAGACAAAAGAGAGCAGTCAGAATCAAAGGCAAACTCCAGCCCCCAGAACCATCTCACATTCCTGCAAAGATTCCAGACTTCTTAGGCTGGAAGGCACGTTGGAGGTCATTTTATTCAATCCCTCCCTGACATTGGAATTACAGTCTCTGCCTGACCATTTCCGGGGAAGGAGAGCTATGGTCTCCCAAGCAGCCTGTTTCAGCTCTCTGAACAGCTCTAAGTGGTAGAAATGTCTTCCTTAGGTGAAAAAAAAAAAAAAAAAAAAAAAAACAGAACAAAATATTGCTTGGACCAAATAAAGAACTTCAGGGATCTGAATCTCGGAATCCACCTGCAGGCCATAAGTTTGAGACCTCTGGGTCTGTGCAGGGGTTTTAAGCTGGCTTTGGCCCTGGATCCCAGAGCTTCTCCCAGCTATCTGCCTGCAGCCCTTTCTTCCATCTCCTGGATAGGCCTGGGGCTGATCACATGAGGGATCTGGGAGAAAGCCATCGAAAGAAGGGTATGGCACCTATGACTAAGACTGCTGAGATAGACCCTTCTGGAACTAGGGGTCTTATAGTAATTCCAGCTTCACATCCCTGCTATCTTGGTCAGCAGCCAAAATAAAAACCAATCCGTAGTCTATTTCTTCCACACTTTCTCTCCCAAAACCCAGCCTCCTACTACTGCCCTCTCTCAGCCTTTCTGCCACACCCTCTGGAATGCATTCCATAATCAAGGAACACTCATCTCCCTGCCTCCCATCAATCTCATCTCGGGGGTAACTTTTATCTCATCAACTTAGAGCTGAGAGGCTGGTGCAGGACCTGGGTCCAAGTTACCAAAAAGGAAAATATTTTTAAATATCTTAAGCCAAAGGACATGAAATGAGGCTCAGGCGGTGGGGCAGGAGGCGGCCAGTGTTTCTCTCCTGGTTTCTACCCCGCCTCTCAGACCTGAACAAAGCCTCTGTGTGTCCCAGTGACCAGGATCACCATGGTGGTCTTCTGCTTCTCCAGCTTCCAGCCAGTTGGCCACAACTGGCCATGAGCTACAGTGAGTGTCCAGACTGGCCCCAAGCAGCCCTTGCACATCTCTGGATATTTTTCTCCATTCACCACCCCTTTCCTTCCTGCAGAGGACAGACCCCAAGGCTGCCACCTGCTCCAGTCTCTCTCTTTTTATTCATCCTGGTTCTGTCTTGACCACCATACTAGATGGAGGTCCAGGTCAAGCAGCATCACACCCCATCCCCATCTCCTTCCTGCCCCGCACTGAGCCAAGGCTTCCCCAGCAGGCCTCCCAGTGGCTAGCATTTTATGCTCTACATTCCCAGCCATTAGGGTAAGAGGGAGCTTTAGCATGCTGCCCACCCACCACAATCACAGGCAGGCCACCAGACTTCCACCTCCACATATACACCCTGACCCTTTGATGTCCTTGCCATCTGACTATACTGCCCCCACCCCCCGTCTTCTTCCTCATGCATCTGGAGACTCTGGTGCCTGAGGGAAGAAGCCCTATGGTCTCATCATCTTCCAACCAGTGTGCTTTGGGGCTACATCAGAGTGCATCACACGAGGCCTTGATGGAATGAGGCTTCCCCAATGCCAGGGGCCACCTAAGAAAGGCACAGGCAGGGGGCAACTGCAGGGCTTCCTTGCCACCTCTAATCCCACCAAGCCCTACTGTCCTTTAGAGAGACACAGAGAAATGTCTGAAATTACGGTTGTTTCTGAATGACGAGATTGGGGGTTTTTGTGTTCTCATGTTTGTATTTCTCTAATTGCTGGAACATTTTTATAAAATGACAACATTTTTATATTGTACTTTTAGGAAGACAGTAATGTTATAACACTCAAAATGTTAAAATTGCTATTTTGTGGATGGTTGTAGTTTTGATAAAATTGTAGGTGTGTTACTATTTTCTTCTCCATTCTTTTCATGCATTGTTGACATTTTCTGCAATGAATACGTATTAGTTCTGAATTTATAAAATACCATTTAAAAAATCCTTTAGCTACTGCCCTAACTTTGGGGCTTTTTGAAGGGTTACTGACACTCACATTTCTCTTCCTTCACTTCCCACTGACTCTTCAACCAACTAGAATCTTTTTGGCTACTAAATGCTTTGCTCTAGTTTCTAAATTTGAAGGACACCTTTTGGTTCTTCTTATGAATTTCCTGGCAGCCTTTGACACTGTTGGCTACTACCTTGCTTGGCTTGCTTTCTTCCTTTCTGGCTATGGCTTCTCAGTTTCTTTCTCATATTTCTCCCATCAGTTCCTTTTCAGTTTTGCTCCTCATAGTCTAATCCCTTCTGACTGTATAGATTCTCTTTTGGGAATCCAACCAGCCCCGTAGTAATTGCATGGCTCATCTACAGCCAAGATCCCACTGTGGGGTTTCAGACCTTCAGAACCTATTCCTTCCTGGTAGTCTCCACTCAGGTTTCCTCCAGGCACCTCAGACTCACCATGCTCCAAATTAGTTCCTCCTTGGTCAATAGCAGCACAATAGAAAATGCCCCCACAATCCCTGCCATAAGGAGTGGCCTTAGACCTTCAAACTCATTCTCCTGGTAACTCTTGATTGGGCTGGGAGTGGGCAATTGACCCAAGACAGACCATATAAACTATCTCTCCCAAGACTCTGAACTGAGTCAGTAGTACTGGGGTCAGCAGCTGTAAGATCACACAGACTTAGGGCAAGAATCAGTGCCAGGGTGACCCAAAGCTGTGTGCAAGCTCATGTCACCTATATATGTGTTTTGGGGTGAGGTTGGGAGGAAGAAAGACCCTTTCAGAAGGTGGTCTATAGAGAGAGCAAAGCAGACTAATAGAGACAAGAGTCCCAGGCCTGGCTGTTCTTCCTGTGATGGAGTTCCATGAGGTTTCTATGCTGATTTAAACGAGATCTTTACTTAAGCTAGCAAAGGAATAGAGAGACTTTCTAATCCCAGCAATGAAACAATCCCTGGAAAGGAAACTGTCACCACTCAATCATCCAAGCAGAAACCTGGGCATCATTCTTGACCTTTCTCATCTTTAATGCGCCATATTCAATCAATGACCCAATTAGTCACTTCTGCTTCCTTCATGTCTCTCCAATTGCCCACTAGTCTATGGGCTCACTGCTGTGATTCTAGTTCAGATAACACAGGAGTCACCTAACTGGCCTTTGGACCCCTGCTCCTGTCCCTTCTGATTAATCTGCACACTGTAGCCAAGGTAATTTCTGAAACACTAGTGTTGTCATACCTGTTTCCTGCTTTAAACCCTTCTGTAGCTCCCCATTGCCCACAGAAAATGGTCAAACTTTTTGGCTTGGCTTGCAGACCCTTGAAACCTAGCACTTGCTTTGCTGACTTCCACAGACTAAATGTCTCCCTTTTCTGCCTTGAACTCTACTCTTTTGCCTGTAATTTAATACTAGCAATTACAGGAATGCACAGCCCTTCCCCTTACCTCCCTCTATTCCATCTTCCCTTTGCCTCTCTCCCACCTGGCTCACTCCCGAACTCAGCTGTCCTTTGGGTCTTAGTTTGGAGGTAACCTCCTCCAGGTAGACGTCTCTGCCCTCCCTTATACCCCCAGCACCCTGTGCTTGGTTCACCCAAACAACTTACCACACTGTATTGTAATTCTCTGTTTTTTGTTTGCCTCTCTCACTAGTCTATAAGTATCATGATGGTAGGAACTGTGTACTAAGCATGAGACCTAGCACTTAGCAGATATACACTCAGTATTTGAAGATTAAATGTATAAATTGTACTTACAGCAGGCTTCTCATAATTGGCACTTGAAATAGGGTTTGGTGGAGGCAGAAGCTGATGTGGCTGTTATGAAAAGGAGGAAAAGAAACAGTTCTGAATATGCATTCAATCTGTTCTTCAGAGTGTATTGAGGTGCAAGTGCAATGTTTCTTGAGAAGATGCTTTAAATAATTTGCCATTGTCTGTAACTGTGACTCTTAACTGTAAAGAGTTTCATGACCTGCTGAAGAAATCATCTTCAGAAAGGGAGAAAATGTTCTCAAGAGTTTTAAAAAGAGCACTGAATCAAGGAAGGGCATTCTTTTTGATAAACCCATGTTTAATCACCAACTCTTTCACTTAATAGAGAAAGCTACCTCTTCAGAGCCTCAGTTTCATAATCTGCAAAACGGGGATGATAGTACCCACCTCAAAGCATTGCTCTAGGGCTAGAAGATGGACAATGCCAGTTGCCCATGTTCTTATGAGGCAGATGGTGCCAAAAATTAAAGGAATCTTCTAGATTGCTTATACCAACCAATGATTCCACAGATGAACAAACTGAGGCCAAGATAGAGGAAGCCCTCTGCCCAAGAAGATTTGGCTACTACATGGGAACAGCAGGTCTCCAGCCTCTGGATCTAGTTATTCCTCCGCTCTACTGTGGGAACCTCCTGTTAGCACCCATTAATTTCTAGGATTTCACCAGATACTAAACCGTGCACAGCTGACTGTCCAGAGTTTGGAGAGCTTGGTGCTAGATACCAAGGAGGACTCAGGAAATGCTGATAAATGAATGCATGAGCAGTCCAACAGGGTAACTACTCACGTTGCTGGAAAGCGCAGGGGGTGGAGGGCTGTCGGCAGGAATGGGGATCAGTTCTCCCAGCTTTAAGAAAAACAGTACATTGAAATGAAAGATCAATTACAAACTTCTCCCATTTCAAAACAGAAAAAAATGGCATTTATGGGAGTAGATTATTATTTTTAGAGGGTATTTGAAGGCAGTGTGTTAAAGGAAGTTTAGAAATTACCTGTAATTTTTTCCAGCCATCTCTAACACGAATGAAAAACTCAGTGCTGTCCCTCAGGTAGATGAATGTTCCTTCTATAACCAAATGCGCTTTCTGCAGCATGTCATCCATGTTGCTGAATGCTGTGACCTGTCAGATCATTTAAATTCCAAACACTGCCATTATCATTAGAGGAATGGCACCATCTGATAACCTGGCCTCTCTGTAAAGTCAACTAGGAGCCGTCCCCAGATACTCAATAAAGAGGCTTGTTAATGTGCCAGATAGAGGTATATACCTTCATTAGTAACTAAAGGGCATTCTTCTTGATAAAACAAAAACATGTATACTTTGAAACACAAATCTAACTTATAATAAATGAATTAAAACAAAAATGACAATATTATGTGAGTATAAAGACATTTACAAATTGTCAATGGAGTTATCTTTGTTTTGGTTTGGGTATTAGCAAAAGCACTGGTAAGTTTTACCACTTCTATTTTTTTAAGCTACTTGGTGGCACTAACATGGTTAAATGGTGTTACTTCATGCTGGTCCTTGAAGAGTTTCAAATTTTTCATTTGGAATAAGAAAGGCAAGCAAGTGAGCAACTATACTTAAGGTCTTAAATCTTTTTTGTCTAGCTTGGTAGTTACATTAAATGCATGATAGAAAATGGAGGTCTGTAATTTCTCTGCCTAGAAAAGTGCCAAAGATTAGACAGCCATTTGGCATATCTAGAAGCACATACAGAAGCTACAAAAATCTATTGAATAGCATCAAATCTCAAAGAAATAACGGCCAAGAGAGTTTTTATTTTTCATTGTAACTGAGAAAGATTATAAAATATTAATTTTCACCTAGCCTTGAAGATAATGGCTTTGTGCATCAAAATGACTTAGATATCCCCAAGGGAACCAAATATCAGAATTCCATCATATGTAGGACAGTTCTTTCTTTTGGCAGCCAAATTTTGCAACTAACATCCAGCAAAGATCAAAGAGCATTTTTGGACTCCTGACATCCTTGTGAAGTATTTGTCCATTTTTCTGTGCATTACAGTAATCTTGGAGTGCTATGTCTTGTTCCAACGAACTGCAGGGTAACGAATGTGCCAGAGATGTTCTTTGGCAGAATGGAGAAGACTGAATTATCCAAGTAAATCTGACCAGCACAAGGACCTGTTGTAACATTGTTTATGCTCTTGGGCTTTTGTTGTTTTGTTTTTTCTTTTTTTTCTAGAGATGGGGTATTGCTTTTTCACCCAGGCTGGAGTGCAGTGGCACAGTCATGGTTCACTGGAGCCTCGACTTCCCAGGCTCAAGTGATCCTTAGCTTCTCAAGTAGCTGGGACTACAGATATGCACCACCACACCCAGTTAATTTTTACATTTTTCTGTAGAGGCAGGATCTCACTATGTTGCCCAGGCTAGTCTTGAACTCCTAGACTCAAGTGATTCTCCTGCTTCAGCCTCTCAAAGTGCTGGGATTACAGGAGTGAGCCACCGCACCCGAGCAGGTTTATGCTTTTTGAAATACTATTATTGGTGGCCAGGCGTGGTGGCTCGTGTCTGTACTCCCAGCACTTTGGGAGGCCAAGGTGGGAGAATCACCTTGGTGGCCCATGAGTTCAAGGCCAGCCTGGGCAATGTAACAAAAACCCTGTCTCTACAAAAAAAAAAAAAAAAAAATTAGCCAGGTGTGGTAGTGTGCATCTGTAGTCCCAGCTACTCTGGAGGCTGAGATGAGAGGATTACCTGAGCTCAGGGAGGTTGAGGCTGCAGTGAGCCGTGATCTCACCACTGTACTCCAGTTTGGGTGACAGAGTGAGACCCCGTCCACCCCTCATCCAGCAAAAAAAAAATATATATATATATATATATATAAAAATATATAAGTAATATGATTGGTTCTTGTTATAACTTAGTCAATTAAGGATTCGAATGGTGGAACTTACATATACATGATTTTGTTTTTTCACGTCTTTTTACTTAATAAGTCATCCAAATAGATAACAAATCCCTTCTACTATTTATGGAATTGCACCAAGCCTACTATCATGAAGGCCTGATCCCCAAGGGATGTCAGACACAGGAGATCGTAGGCAGAGTTTTAAGTATATCTATCCCAAATGGAATGATGACTACACACTGATGATAATACTGACCAGGTTTCTGGATCCGGGAAGCCCTGGCTGTCCTGGAGGGCCAGGGGGACCTGGAAGGGCCACAGCTAAGACAAAACAGAAAAGAGAAGTTACACAAAAACCACACTCTGAAAAATGTCTGAGGTATCAGCTGACTCCCGGAGAGAAGTGTGTTCAACCCCATTCACAGCGCCACAAAGCATCCCAACTTCCACCTGTATCTTGGGTGCTGTGCCCCCAGCGTGTGACTTAGGCCACATTGACTGGTTCAGGGAAGAGCTGGGATTCTTGATTGTTACCCTGGATGAAGCCATGGCTAGTGCTTTTCCGTTTCATAAGTGAATCAATTCCTTTTGTGGTTGTTTTATAAAAGCCAGCTTAAGTTGAATATTTTGTCACTTGCATTCAAAAATGTCCTGACTCATATAACTTATTTCACCCAAGAGACAAGCATGTGACACTGAACAGAGGAAGCAGGCTCAGAAAGAGGAAGAGAAGGCTCTAGGGAGTGGGAGGAGACCAGGGTGGTGCAGTGACAGTAGCCCTGGCCTTGGGGCCAGAGACATGGACTCAAGTCCTTAAGTTTGTCCATTCCTAGCTGTGTGATCTCGAGGAAACAGCAAGCTCTCCAAAGCTGTTTCCTCATCTGCAAAATGTAAAATAGGCATTTCTTCTTCCCTGGGCTGCGGTGAGAACTGAGTGCTTTGAAAATTGTACATGTACAGCATTCATCCGGCCAGGAGCTCTTAGCTTTTGAAGAGTCACAGTGCCCTTAAAAATCAGATCAAGGTTAGTGCCCTCTTTCCCAGAGAAATGCACACATAATTCTATAAAAAAATATTACTGGGATGACAAATCCTGGAGGTATATCCTTGAACTCTCTAGGAGTCTATGATTCCTCAACTGAAAAGCCCTTACTTTAGGCAAACATAAAGTAGTATAATTACAACTATTCCTTTGGCTGTTCTTCTACCTCTCTCATCCTCTGCTCACCCTACCCCCGACAACTCCTCCAAATCTGCCAAGCTCTTGGCAGAATTAAGGGTGTTTTTACAAGCCCCAGTAAAATTATACAGTCCTTCAGGTCGTTGCAAGCAAATGTTCAGTTCCAACATAGGACTTGAACACCCACACACAGGTGGCAAATGTCTAGTGGATAGAGGGCCAGTGGACTCGGATTTGGATCCCAGCCATGCCTCCTAATAGAATTTGTGACCTCAAGTAAGTCTCTTCACCTCTGTGAGCTTCAGTGTCTTCATCCGTGAGATGAATTTTATAATAATATCTGTTTTATCTTCCTCCCAGGGTTGCTGTGAAGACTACATGGGATAATGGCCATGAAAGTGTTTTGTAAACTGAATTGCTATACATTATGTGAGAAGCAATCCTTGCTCAATGCAGCAAGGCATCCCGGCAGCCCTAATGTAGTGTTGCTGTGGACAACAGTTTTTCTCCACCTTGCACTCACCCTGTAATATGCCTCCACCTCCTGTAGTCCTACTCCTCCCTCATGGCTGTGTGGGCACCTGTGGTTCCATACACTCGGCACCTTCTTCCTTTGTAGGACCAGTGTCCTCATCTCCTTCTCTTGGGACCTTCCCTTCACCTCTACAACCATTTGGTTCCAGAAAGAGCTACCATGTTCTCATGTGATCCGACCTCCTGGTCATAGGTGATTTGTCCAAGATTGGGTACCTCACCCAAGTCAGGCCCATCAGGACCCTTCTCTAGGACTTCCCCATCCCAGGACTTTTCAAACTAAAATAGTAAAAGAAGTTCAAGATTTCTAGCTGACAGTGGAAGCTGTAAGTTGTCAGTAACCATATTTCCCGCTGTGCAGAGGATGTGGTTTGTGGTGAGGAAGCGTGAAACTGCATGCAGAGAGAAGCCGAGACAAGAGATGGCCAGAGAATCCTTGCAGGGGTTGAGTCCCTGGCTCTGGCTGTTCCTGAGGTCCAGCTGTTTATCTACCTCTCCCACAAGTTGACTGTTCACTCCCTCCTTCACACCCAGTACATTTCCCCTTTGCTTGAGCTACTTTGAGTTACGTTTCTATCACTTGCAGCCAAAAGATCCAAGGCTAAGTCAAAGCCCCAGCCCCAAAGTCACCTCCTGTGTAAAGCTCTCCTTATGCCAAGGACTCTGTAGGTCTCTTTCCAGGTATGCTTCCACCATACCTGGCTCCTGCCAAGCCAAACAACAAAAAAGTATGCCTTCATGCTATTATTGCTGCTATTATTGTCTCCTCCAATGGACATAGTAGAAATAACACAGGCTTTGGAGCTACACTGCTCTGGGTCTGAATCCTGTTGGTGTCACTTATTAGCTGTGTGACCTTGGAAAGGTTCCTAAATGTCTCTGGGCCTCACTTTCCTTACCTGTACAATGGGGATGTTAATGCTTTTTTTAAAGTGTTGTTGTGAGGTTTCAATAAAATACCATAGCAAAGTGATTAGCAAAATGCCTGGCATCTGATACATGCTCATTACATAGAGATTTTCTTTAATTTTGCCAGTTTTGCATATGAGGAGGTGAGGCTCTAAAGGATGAATAGATTTTTATATACAGAGTTCCAGTCACTGCTGGTCATTAAGACAGGTTCTCACGCCCCTAAGGCATTGACAAAGCAGCCAGGAAGTTTCCACTCACATGTGAAAAGATGCTCAACATCATTAGTCATTAGGGAAATGCAAACCAAAACCACAGTGAGATATCACTTCATACCAAGTAGGATGGCTATAATCAAAAAGATACAATGAGGATACCATAATATGGGAGGAGAAATTGGAACCCCCTCATACACTGCCACTGCTGATGGGAATGAGAAATGTTGTGACTCCTTCGGAAAACAGTCTGGCAGTTCCTCAAAAAGTTAAACATAGAGTTACCATATGACCCAGCAATTTCTCCTACGTATATACTGAAGAGAACGGAAAACATGTTCACATAAAAACTTGTACACGAAAGTTCATAGTAGCATTATTCATAATAGCCAAAAAGTAGAAACAACCCAAATGTCCATGAACAGATTAATGAATAAACAAAATGTATATCCTATACAATGCAATATTATTTGGCCACAGTAAGGAATGAACTCCGTGCTGCAACATGGGTGAACCTTGAAAACACTGTGTTAAGTGAAAGAAGCCAGACTCAAAGGGCCATATATTATATGATTCCATTTATATGAAATGTCCAGAATAGGCAAATCTGGAGACAGAAGTAGATTCATGGTTGCCCAGATCTGGTGGAGGAGAGGGAAAGAGAGAAAAGAGAACAACTGCTAATTGGTATGAAATTTCTTTTTGGTGTGATGAAAATGGTCTAGAATTAGACAGTGGTGATGACTGCATAACTTCATGAATATATTAAAAACTACTGGATTAGACACTTTAGGTGGGTGAATTTTATGATGTGCAAATTGTATCTCAATTAAAAAAAAAAGAAAGAAGGCGGTATCCAGGAAAGCCCTCTGTTAGGCAGTGCAGCTGTGACAAGCCACCCAGATGCTGTGACCTTGAACACAATGGTAGGGACAGCATGAACAAGGGCACTGTTTACGGCACTAACCTGCTCCCAGGATAGCTGGAGGTCCTGGTGGCCCCGGGGGCCCCGGTGGCCCAGGATCACCAGGTCTTCCAAAGCCAGGTGGCCCAGGCAGACCAGGAGCACCTGGGGGTCCTTGGGGCCCAACGACTGTCTCCCCTTTTTGGCCCTGTCAAGGCAAGCACACAATAACAGAGAGAAAGCATCATTCATCACTCGAAGTCCCATCTAGTCCTTTTATGAGAATATTTAAAAGAAATCAATAAACACCAGCTATTGTTATTACTATCCTCAATCTTGGGCACAATTCAAGGTGGGGTAAGGCCTCCAAGATGGCAGCCCAGTCATTATGTTGAATGATTCTACAGAGAACCCCAGAGACTCCTGGAGGCAGAAGGGACCTTGGAGATCATCTAGTCTAGCCTTTGCATTTCACAGATGGAGACACTGAAGCCCAGAGAAGTGAAAGGACTTGCCCAAGATCATGAAGCAAATTAGATGCAGAGCTAGAGGCAGAACTCTGATCTCTGGCTTTGCTGGTTCTACCCTCACAGTGAGCTCTGGGACCAAAGGTCAATGATCTAGTCATATTCTTGTTGGGGGCACAGCTTGACTTTCTCTCCTTTCACCTGGAAAAATCTCTCATCCTAGGAAAACCACACCTATCTAGGAGCTCCTTTGATAAAATTTCAGAAGAATCAAACAGCTCCTCTAAAAATATCTCCTTACCTTCCATTCTGCTTCTGTTATCTGATGCATTCACCATTAATCATTCTTTGTGTGGAGTGAATTTTCCACCAATGTCATGAATAAGGCAGTGTGACTAATGGCCTGGAAGTTACCTACCTTCATGTGGCCTTGACCAGCTACCTTCTCTCCAGGGACCTCAGCCAACCTGCCCATCAATCAACAAGGATGGGGAAAGAGCTGGCTAATCCCCAAGCTCTGCCTCCAGCTTATAGTACAATGACTAGCCCTAACTGCCTAGTCCCATTGGGGGCTTCCGGGAAAGCTGTAAGTCTTTGGGGTAGATGACTTGGAGGGGTCTCTACTCACAGCCGGGCCTGGATTTCCGGGCAGGCCTGGAGGCCCAGACATAAGGAAGCTGCCATTAATGTCTCCTTTTTCTCCTTTTTCACCTTTGAACCCCTTGTCTCCATTCTCCCCCTGGAAGCAGAGAACACAGGAATATTTCAGTAAGAGTGGGATGAACTCAGTCTCTGACATAAACCAAAACCTGAAAAACACAGGCCAAATATTGGTAGAGAAATACTCACCTTCAAGTTGTTCAGAAAGTGTCTCAGGTAAGCTAGATCAAGTGGAGGACCTGAAAAAGAAATGCTTCGTAAAATTCACGATTGTAATTTCAGAAATTTTAAAATAAAAGTCTCTAAGTTGGCAACCACAGTTACATCTTAGTGGATGTGAGCCTGCACTGGGTTGGCTAACAGAGTCTGCTTGGAAGCAGAAACAGGTGCTAGCTACTGTGGGCCCATCAACCCAGACACTGTGGGATCCCAGGTAGGTCCCTGGCCTTCTTTGGACATTGTTTTGCATATAAAAGATGAATGATTGGATTTTCTGGTCTCTCTTGACAATGTTCCCTATTGGACATGCCAGGCCCATGCTTGGTTTTCACTAGAAACCAGTGGAGCCTGTGGTCAGGGTGGAATGTCATTAGTCTTACCCTCTGGCTAGGTCACATTTCTCAGTCGCATTTGTTCTCAGGAGCAAAAAATCAAAGGCAAGATTGAGAACAAGAGCTGGAATACCTGGTGGTCCCTGGGCTCCCTGGTCGCCTTTTTCTCCCTTTGAGCCAGGAAGACCCCAGGATCCTTTCTCTCCTTTAACACCTGCCACCAAACACATACATGTTAAAAAAAAATGGAAAATCACCTTCTTTCTATATAAAACCTTTCTGAGACAGGTTTTCAAACTAAGCTCATTTAGCAAAGTCCACTCAAACAAAGCCCTCCTGAGAGATCAGCAAGTGTAAAATCATAAAGAGGGCAGAGGTAGATGCTTCAGACACATTCTCAACCTTGAAAAGCTCAGTCTACTGGGAGACAGACAGAGCTCACAGTAACGCAAGGCAAGATGAAATATGTGCTCTCACTGAGGTTCCAGCAGCGCATCCCGTGAGTGCAGCAGAGGCTGCGGCTAACCCTGGCTTGGTCAGTGCCACAAATGAAGACAGAGACTCAGCACCATGTCAATCTTCCAGACTCATCTCATCTAGGCCTGTGTAGCATGGGGTTGTAAGGGAACAGGAGGGCTCTCCCAAGAGTGCCCGCACAGGACAACCAAGGGCGCTAAGTTTTCTACGTACAAAGTTGTGAGAATGCCCACCATGAAGTGTTGTACATCCCCACAGGACTAGTGAGAAACACTGTTTCTGCAGAACTGGCATTCCATCCCCACCTTTCCCCTCAACTCTTTATATGGGAGGGGGCATGGAGGAAAGCCTTTTGGGAGATCACTGCTTGGGAAGGGAAGTGGTTCCCTTTCCCCACCTTGATGGGTAGGGTGGACGCTAGGTCTTTGAATTCCTCGTTCCCAAGAGGTGTGACAGATCAACCCACCAATGGTCTTGAGCCTAGAGATGGGGCCACAAAGTGTAGATGAGGCTAGCGACTCAGGCTTTCTCAATGAAGGGGAGGGAATATGAGCATCACAGGAATGATGGTGTCAACAGGGGGTCAGTAGGGAGCGGCAACTACATCTGTCGAGGCCTCTCCAACCCTGGGAATGCTGTGTGAGACCAATGACCTGCGCAGTGGGGCCCATGGGGCCTCCTTCACCCACACTGAGCCCACAGACAGCAGTGATCAGAAGAGAAGACAGCAAGTGCACCAGCACCAACCGGAGCAGTAGTAGCTGCACACAGTAAGCAGGATGATTGCTCACTAGGAGCTGTCACATCCAGAAAGATCTGTTCCCTCCCCCTCCTTCCAGGGGAGGCTCACAGGGAAGAGGAACAATTGGGGAATCTGAGAAAACAAATCCAGCTCCATCCCCTGCTCCCCAAGGTCCACCTTGCATCAGGGGAAAGGGGAGCCTTGAACTGAATCTAAGCATAGAGTTTGCAAACAGGCTGGGCTTGGTAAGCAGAAGTGACAGAAAAACCACAGGGCTAGATATCATCAGGGAGACCACCACCTCGTGGGCCGGGGTGACACAGCCAAGCTGAAAGTGAATATTGGAGGAAAAAGACCTTCCTCTATTTAAACCCCAAGTGGCGTGACAGGGTGTGTGAGGACAGGGGGACCAGAGTGACTGCTCACCTGCAGGCCCCATCCCCTGGCCTGTGCCTTTCTGATGTGCCATAGCAAAGCTCCTGCATGTGGCTATGAATATGCTGACATTTACTACTCAAACCCTCTGAGCCAGCATTTCTCACACTTTGCTGTGCACTCACCTCACCCGGGAGATGGTTAAAACACGGGTTCTGATTCAGCAGGTCTAGGGTGGGGCCTGAAGTTCTGCATTTCTAACAAGCTCCCAGGAGATGCTTACAAAGTTGCATGGACACCGAGGCAAGGGTCTCCTGAGCTCCCACGGCCCTTCCCTGATCAGCTCTTAGTATAATGCACTATAATTGTTTTTAAAGTAGTTTCACTTAACAGGTTCCAAGAGCCTGAGAGGCAGGAACAGCGCTTCTCAGGCTCTTGGAATCTGCCTCAGCCCAGTGCAGATCATACCAAGTAAGGAATAGGCATCAGTGAATGTTTTATGAACAAATGAACAATTGAAAGAACAGAGTGCTTGTTGCCAACTAGGAGGCTCAGCTAAGATGAGCAGAATAGGCACATGTGTGACCAAACCAAAGAGAGGTGCACAGCCCCACAGCCTTGGCTCAGCTGCCATCCCCACCCCTACAGCATCCAGTTAGACCTTCCTGACCACCTAGTCTGCGCCCTGCACTGGGCAAAGGAAAACCATCTTCCTCAAGGAGATGTCCCAGAGAAACAAATGATGAAGAAGGGAGTGTATACCGTGAAAAGTGATGAGCTCTGGACTCCCAGGATGAGCAGTATCAACCTGGAAAGAGAGGAAGGCCAGGTTAGGCACTGCAAGCTCTGCCGTGGTGTTTGCAGAAACAGGCAGCCACTGTCCCGGGGGCATGTGACAAAAGAGGCAATGCCACAGAGTCAGGCCTTCCTTTGGCTCTGGAGTCCCCCAAAGCCCTGAGTCCCCAGGAGTTGTCAATGCACAGACATCCCAGGCTTTAAACTGGGAGACCCATGATGTAGTTGAGCTGGGGAGACAGAGCTGAGGCCTAATGGCCAAAAAACTCAGCCATAAGGAAGCCCAAAGCTTTAAGACAACAAATCGTGGCAGTGGTGGTTTGGCCAACTGTGAACATTCTTGTCTTCCTTTCTTATCAGTTGGGATTGATTCATGTGTAAGGTCAAGCATCCGAGCAAGTGACATGCCCAACCGTGAAACCGGGTCAGCCATTAGCTTAGCTATTGCATGTAATCAAAGATGAGCATCATGGGCAGGTAATTAGCAAAGGGGGTTATCATTAGATTGGGGGTGCTATTCTGGACACCTCATTAAGTTTCAGGGGTCTGGAGTCCAGGCTGTTCTGGATAATATTCCTTCCCAGTTTTCCCCAGATTCCTGCATTTCCTTCTCTATTCAGACAAAGCCACTTGAAACCTGGCTTCTTCCCAATTGATGTGTAGAATCAAAGTCATCCGTATGGTGCCAAAATCCTTCTGTGCTTACGGGTGGAGGGTCACAAGCTGCTCAGGGGCCATCAAGAAAAGATGGGAGTGGGGAGGAAATCTACCAGGAAAAACATTTCTAAGTTAAGGATGAAAGTTGCAGCTCCAAGCTGTTATCTTGCAGGCTATGCTGATAAAGTTTCTCCACTACAGACATGAGCTGTAAATGATTAGGGTGTTGGAAGGAGCTGAAACTAGAAGGGGCTCATGAGATGCTGGCTGTAAGAGGAAGCATTTCTGTTTCAAAATGTCCATTTTGAGAGTTGGACAAGAAACGTCTATGACCCAGCTCCTACAGTATCTAGCCAGGCAATATGAAGTAAAAAATCTTACTAAAAATGCTTTGAGCCTATCTTTTCCTTCTTTTAGGTATCCCCACGACCCCCAAAGGCCATGGTTACTGTGAGAGGTCCTGGTGCAGGTCATGATAATTGCAGTAGCATTTTTACCGCACTCTAAAATTTGTCAAGTGCTGTTCTGTGGCTGGCTCATTTGAGGCCTGAAATCATGTTAGTTAGGAGAGGCTGCTGTACTGACTCACTGTGTGACCTGGAGCCAGCCTTTTGCTTCTCTGGGCTGTGTGGTCTCTCCTGTGTGATAAGCAGGTGGGATGCAGCGACTGCCCAGGAAGGTCACTCCAGCACTGAGATTTTATGTTTCTCTTCAGGCCATGGATATAAACACATACTGGGTTGCTGTTGTCTCCATGTAGAGCCTGGAGCCCGTTAGTCACCTGACATAGGTGGGTCCTGCCCTCTAGGCCAGAGTTCCCAGGCCCTGAGCTGCAGACTTGGATGCCTCAACGTTTAGACTTAGCCAGATGTCTGGGCAAATACGCGGCCAAACTGCGTCATTTTGAAGGCTATGACCCAAGCCTTAACATCACCTCCAACAGGGATCAATTACGAACTCACCTCAAAGAATATTTCTAAATTGTAATTTGCAAGCTCCTGAGAGCAGAGGCCACATCCGTCTAGTTCACCGTTGTGTCCCCAGGGCCTGGCAGAGTCCTTAGCACTGCATAAGTGCTCAATAAATATTTGTCGAATGAATGAGAGAATGATTATGCATGGTTCTGTGACTAAGGCCTGTACACAAGGCCCACCCTCCCCACTGGGTTTTCTCACAGAAATCTGACTCTCTTCCTGTGGGTAAAAAATCAGGGACAGAGCTGCTCAATGGCTGGGGGGCCGGGCAAGTGCCTGACCCCTCAGCATCCCAGTGTCTGCACCTGCTGCCTGGTGGTTAGGAGACCTGAGTTATGATCCCAGCTCAGTCAAGTCCCATGACCTTGGACAAGCCAGTGAGCTTCTCTGAGTCACAGTTTGTTTCATTATCATAAAATGGGAGAGATCAGCCCTGCCTGTCAGTGTTGTGTGCGGTGCAGTGATGTGATCACTGGGAAAGGGCAGCATAGTTAGTTACAAAGTTCTCAATGCAAAGATCATGGGTTGGCATGGATTGTTTTCTAATCTATGTTTTCTAACGGGTCTATTTTTCCCAGTTTTATACTACTCCAAGCATGAAGCTAATGTGGTCGCAATAACAAAAGACACTGCTTTTTAGATTGTATGAAAAGAAGCACCTCACCGTGTGTGCACCCTTAGAAGATCCAGTATATTTCATTGCCACGACCTGTTATCTAAAAGCTTCTAGTCACTTGAGGGTCTACACTTAGGGGACAGAAGACATCAGAGAGGACATTTGAGGATAGAAAGGGCCCAAGACAAAGACTGATCTTTTTCTCCAAGTTGCTATCCATGCCAAAGCCTGCTCTTTAAGGCAGTGATTGCTACTTACTGGCATTTTGCAGTGTGGTCGGACGGGTATTGGGAAAATGGCCTGTGGGTAATGAGAACAAGAGAGGTGAGGTCAACAGGACACCTGACTCCAGCTTAGGCCAATCGGGAAGGTCTTCCCACTGCGTGCCAACTTACTCCTTTGATGTTAATCACAGCTCCAGGTGGCCCAGGGGGGCCTGGAGGGCCAGGTAAGCCAGGTGGGCCCTGAAGGAAGAAAAAAAGGCCATTCCATTAGTTCAGGTTGTTGTGAATGCAGGGGCAGCCACAGGACACTTCCTCCAGAGGAAGGAAAGGAGGGTCTGCTGAAGCCAACCAACTTCTCTCTCAGGTTGCTCAGGGAGCCACAGAGCACTTCTATGTCCCTGGCCTCACTGTATCTTCACAACAAACCATAGGGAAGATGGCAGGGCAACAAGTATTGTCTCTGGTTAACACATGCAGCTAATGAGGCCCAGAGAGGGGAGGTGACCTGCTCAAGACCACACAGCAACTTACAGCAGAACTGAGATTGCAACTCAGATTCTGACACCCAGTTGATACTGAGCCTAAGGCTCCCCTATCAGTGCATTCCCAGTATACGGGTGGGAATGGACTGTGGGGGTCCCTCATGTGATATATTGCCAGAGGAAATGTGTCTCAGAAATGCAAGCATAAATGCAAAACTCTTGTTAGATAGCACAGTCATTTTCAAAGTGAAGCCAGCTTGGCCTTAGTACCATGCAACAGTTTCTCCTCTAAGCCTAGAGGCAGGAGCTTGCAGCAGGAGAGGTGAGGCTCTGAGGGCAGGCATGAAGAGTTTAGTTCATGCAGAAAGTGTATTGATCACTCTAAATGAAGGCGTCAGTGTCTGGTTTGCCTGCCGGTTCCAGTGGGCTTGGTGAGTGAGACTCAACCCCTAATGCTTCAGGAAAATAGTATTTCTGGATTTCTGGGCATACAAAGCAAAAGCAGTGTGGCACAAACAGAAGCAGCAATAGACTTAGAGCTGTGTTTACATCTTGGTTTGGGGATTATTAGCTGGGTCACCTTGGGTGGGTGCCTTGACTTCTAGAGGCCCTGGTATCCTCTTATGTAAAACAAGATCCCTGCATAGTATCTCATGCAATAGTTATCACCAAGACTAAATGAGAAACTCTCCTTAAAACACATGGACACAGGAAGGGAAACATCACACTCCGGGGACTGTTGTGGGGTGGGGGGAGGGGGGAGGGATAGCATTAGAAGATATACCTAATGCTAAATGACGAGTTAATGGGTGCAGCACACCAAAATGGCACATGTATACATATGTAACAAACCTGCATGTTGTGCACATGTACCCTAGAACTTAAAGTATAATAATAATAAAACAAAACAAAACAAAACAAAACAAAATCACTTTGCACAGTGTCTGGTACACAGCAGCTGCTGAATAAACATTGGCTTTTTTCTTCTAGACCAGGGTCCCTGCTGCTGCCCAGTGTTTGCCAACCTGGGAGGCCCCACCTAAGTAGCTGATCTGCCTTTGATACTGACTTCCAGCACTCACTGAGCCCCTAGTGATGTGAGTGATCCCTGGGACTGTGTAAAGGAGGGGAGAGGTGACATTACCCTAGAGTTAGAGGCCCTGGGATTTGGAACCACATTTTCTGAGCATGACCAGATCCCTTTCTCCCCTACTCCCTCTGGGTCCTACACAAGAAAGTCTATTTTCCACTAAGGTGTTTTAGGTGGCAGGACCCTCCTGAGAGGGAGCTGAAGGACAGGGCTGGGTGGGAGGACCTTTGGCAGTGGCAGTGAAGGAAGAAGAACAACATTCCTGAACATTCAGTCCACAGGCCCTGCTCTGTGGACCCCACACTCTCTCACCCTCTCTGGACACCAACCTCCGGCTCCATCCCCAGGGTGACTCACCTGCATAATGACCCCTGGATCTCCTTTGGTACCCTTGAGGCCATTCAGTCCTGGGCGACCCTGGAACCCACAGCAGACACCTCAGTAAACCCTCCGCCCACAGACCAGCCTGGCCCACGTGTCCTCCCCCTCCAGCCTGTCCAATGAACACTGATACCTACAGGTCGCCCGGGAAGGCCAAATTCTCCTTTATGTCCTGGTGGTCCTTTGGGCCCCTAGAGGCAAAACAAATGCCAGATTAGAAAAGAACAGAAAGTCTTGGTTCAGGGAAATGAGGAGTGCAAGCCCGCTTTTGCAGGCAGTGGTGACGATGATCCACTGACAGGAGGAAGGAGGGCAGGGAGCCAGGTAGAAGCCCCTGCCTGCGGCCTCCTTGTCTCCAGCCTCTCCGCTCTCAGCTAGAAGCACCTGCTCAACCCACACCATCCCCTGCTTTCCTGCAGGCTCCAACCCACCCCAGACTCTGGACCCAGCCCCTCGCAGTCAGGGTTAACTAAGGAGCAAGAGGTCAGTAGCTCAGGGCCTCAGCTCCCTGGTAGCCAGGTGCTGGGCCAGCCCAGAACATGGACCTCTGCCCTAGGTCTTATGTCCCAGGGCTTATCGCATCCCCCATTCTGAATAACGCAGCCCTGCCTCGCCCCTCAGGCCAGCCTGGCCTGATAACCCACTCTAGGATTTGGTTCCTTCCTTGCTCTAACCTGCCCCTAGGAACCAGAGTCTTGGTCTGACACCCCAGTCATCCAGCTGAGTTCCAGACCATGGACCCTATTTCAGTGCTGGCTTTCCAGGACCACAGGCTTCTAGAACCACTGTTCTGTTGCAACCTTCAGGAACCCTCCTGCCTTCTAATGTCTGGGATGTAAACTACTTGGTTGACAGACAACACCACTGATGATGTATGTCTTCCTAGAACAAATTCTACCCTCAGTCTGCGCCTTTCCAACCCTGTAGCTGGGTCTGCTGTGTCTCCCAGAAGAATGACTGATTTAAGCCTGGGGCACTCCAAGTCCCTTTTCATCCTACCATAAACATACATAGCCATGCTCTGAAAAATGACAAACAAAAACTGAGTTGAAACAGGGTCAGTACGTAAAGTACCCAGTCTGTATTACTCTTAGGGAAAGAAAAGCAAAGACAGATGGGGTTGACAGGGCACAGGCCACTTGGTTGGTATGTTCTAGTGCAACACTTCCTGATATGGTTTGGCTTTGTGTGCCCACCCAAATCTCTTCTTGAATTGTAATTCCACAACCCCCGCATGTCATGGGAGGGACGTGGTGGGAGGTAATCGAATCATGGAGGCAGATTTCCCCATGCTGTTCTCATAACAGTGAATGAGTTCTCCCTAGCTCTGATGGTTTTGTAAGTGTCTGGCATTTCCCCTGCTGGCACTTATTCTCTCTCCTGCTGCCCTGTGATGAGATGCCTCCCACCACAATTGTAAGTTTCCTAAGGCCTCCTAGCCATGCGGAACTAGGAGTCAATTAAACCTCTTTTCTTTGTAAATTATCTAGTCTTGGTATTTCTTCATAGCAGCGTGAGAATGGACTAATACACTTCCCAAACATCAATGTGTGTTAAGAATCACCTGGATCTTGTTAAAAATGCAGATCCAGTATGTCTTGGGTGGGGCCTGAGGTTCTACAGTTCTAAGAAGCTCCCAAGTGATGTCAGTGATGCTGGTGCATGGTCTACACTTTGTGTAACAGGACACCAGTGAATTTGAGAAGGCGTTATAAGCTACACTGGTCACTAGGGCCACAGCTAGCCCACACAGCACCTTCATGCAAATTAGAAGAAGGTGCCACTTACTGCCTGTGTTTGGCAAGCTGTGTCCAAGCTGGGCTTCAGTAGGAACCACCGCCATGGCATCTGCAGCAGCCTGCTGACCCCCACCACTAACTATTTGTATTTTCCACAGTATTGGAGGTTAGTAGGTGGTTAACCAGTAGTTAATACAAGAATCTCTCAGTCTGTCTTAGCTACCTGACTTTGGGTGTCCACTCTTCTTAACTTCAGGGACCAAAGGCCTCAGAAGGTCTTTTGAAGGATTCACCTCGAAAGTTACAGGCCATTCTTCAAGGATACAAGTCTGTTACAGAAATGTGAGGTCCTTTCTCCCCACACCTGAGATCCAACTTCAACCAAACAAACCTGTATACAATTCTCTAGCCCAAAATGTTTCAAATGTTCAATGTTTCAAATGTTCATTAGAGGCAGTGAGGTTCATCTGAGAAGAGACTGGACCTAAAGCCTGACTGGCTGGCCTCAAATCCCCACTCTGCCACTTACAAGCTGTGTCACATGGGCAGGTTACTTAACCTCCTTGGGCCTTAGTTTCCTCATCTATAAAATGGGGATTCTGAGAGTCACTTCTTGGGGTTGTGAAGATGAAATGAGATGACCTATGTGAAGCATCAGTACAGTCTGACCCATAGAGAATGTTCTACACAGGGAAGTAAGTTTAGGGTTCGCCCTTGAGAGAAATGGCAAGAGCTGCTCAGAAGCCCAGATGGGTTATGGATTCCCAGAGCCGTAAGGCCAGAAGGGCCCTAATATCATTTAGTACTAATTCAGTCTCTTCAATGTGCAGATGGGAAAACAGGAGCCCAGAGAGAGAAGAGGGCTTGCACAAGGTCTCACAGCAAATGAGTGGCATATTCACAACCAGAATCAAAAATCCCAGAGAGGTTTTGTGGGGTTCCTTTGAGGGTTTCCTGGGAAATTGGTCATCTTTAGCTGGCAAGTTCTGTGGTATAACTGCAAGTGCACCTCTCCTTCCTGGACACACAGCTAAACTACATTTTGAGGCCACAAGCGTCTGGGTTTTGGCTTACAGAATGTGCCAGAAGTGATGTTTATTATCTTTCACAATCTCTTCCCCCTCCCCAACTTCAGCCTGCTAGCTCCTGTGCGACCTTGAATCCACAAGATGGCAGAATCACAGAATGGAAGCATCCTGGATCCCTGAGTCACTTCTTGGAGGAGAGATGCCAAGCTGAGAACAACCACAGTGGAATTTGCAAGAGCGAGAAATAAGCTGCTATTGTGTTAAATCACTGAAAAGTTTATTTAATTGTAGTCAGCCTTACCCTAGTATATGCACATTTTGCACATCTTTGCCACATCTTTGAATTTTCATAACCGGGACAACTAAATCTAACCAAATCAAAGTATGAAAAATGCTTCAAACCCCAGCCCAGATCCAGCTGAGAGACGCTCTGACTTACCATTGGTCCTGGGGCTCCATGCATTCCAGGTTCACCCTAAAACAGGAAGATATATACTTGTCACTGTTTGGGACAGAAACAAAGATGCAAAGCTGGGGCAGATATGTGCCTGCAGGGTCTGGTGACATAATTACCTTTTTCCCCATCAGCCTTTCCAGAGGAATGTCCTCTGTCAGGATGGCACCCGGCTCTCCCTTCTCGCCCTGCAATTCAGAGAACATCTCAATGAAGTCAGGACTCCTCCTTGCCACCTTGTCCAGAGAGTTTTGTACAGAGACTCCTCCTTGCCACCTTGTACAGAGACCTCTGAGTCCTGCAGCCATGATTTATTTCTCTTGCCTTCATCCTACTTGAAACCCCACTGCTCCAAAATTACCTCGTACTAGAGTATTGCAACAGCCTCCTAAATGAATGAATGTTCTCTCAGCCATTCCCTCTATGCACCATCAGAGTTACCGTCCTAAGGCACAGGACAGTCCTGTCTTCCATGCCCCTTCAGGCTCCCACTGATAACAGATTTGCATCCTCACTCTCAACCCTCCAGGATCCAGCCCCAGTGTGGTCCTGTCTATCTCCTGCCACATGGTGCCCTCAAGGAAGCTCTGGCTCCCAATGTATTTGACAGCTTGCTTTCCTAGCAACTCAACCTGAGATCTGTTCCCACCAAGAATACTTATTCTTGTTAAAACACCTGAAATTAGGAAAGAGATGACGGTATAAAAACTAGAGGCCTCTGTCAACATGGAGGCCTTATGTCTCCATATGCAACGTTGCCTCCAAACTCTAAGCTCCTGTGCAAACACTTACTTAGTTAGGCAAAGCTATCCCAGACATTAGGAATGAGTGATGGGTAGACTGGTGGCAAGAACACAGGATCCTGACCCCAATCCTGTCCTCAGCAGAGACATCTACTATGCTAGAGGCTGCTGAGAAGATGATTGTCAAGAGAACAAGACTGGGTGCAGAAACCTTCTATCTGACTCTGAGGCTTTGGCCCTAAACTTCAATGCTGGCCCCTGGGGAGCAGGGCTGAGCCACACAGAAGTCTCTTTTCAATGGGGCTGGGAGTAGCTAGGACAGTAGCATCAAAGCAAGCAGAGCAGCCTCTTTCTTCCATCCCCCTAAGCCCACACCTGGTATTTAGATCTTACCACTCCACTGATGAGGAAAGGTAGTCCTGAGCACGCCAGCAGGGAGAAGAAGCAAGCACAAAAGCATTAGAGGCAGAGTGAGAGAAAGCACGTTCACTGCAATGGCCAGAGCAGAACTGCCCGGCTGCCTGGACCAGTCATTCAAGGTGGCAGGAGGTTAGGGCGGGGATGTCATGTCCGTCCCTCTAGATCCATCTGACCTTACCACATAGGAAACAGAGTGTTTAAACAGAGTGTTTAAAGCAAGAGGTGCTCTTGCTTCCCTGGGCCTCCTCCCAAGCCTGAGCTGGCCAGCCCTGGTCCATCTCCACAGGCCTGTGGCAGGAAAAGCATCCCAAGACACATCCCCACGTGATGCCAAACCTTCACCCAGCATACCGAGCCCTCCATGCCCTGGAGCAGTGGCCCACTAGATATTGGAGGCCCTCTCCTCCTTGGAGACCATTATATTATAGAATGATGGGGGGAGAGAAGAACGAGAGGAGTTCCCCCATCCCACAGAGCACACCCACCCTCCTTGACTCCCCATGGCAGGCTCAGGGGGTTGCACAGTGCTCCCACTGGCTTTGCACAGAGCTCCATTCCAGCTGTAAGCATGTGCTCTGTTAGCTCTTTGCATATCTCTTCCTCATCTTATTTCTATATCCCTACGCCTAGCACAGGAAACTGCCTGGCACACCACACGGGTCAGTGGACGAAAGATGGATGAGTATATACATGGACGAGTGAATATATTAATCTGTTTATGGACGTCACTCTCCCCCTTATCTATAAAAACCAACTGGAAAGTTAATTCTAAGAGGCAAACACAAAAGAATACAAGCACAACAATAGGTTTGGTACCCTGGGAGTTCTCAGGAAGTGTTCTGTGTGCTAAGTATTTATTCCAGAGACTTTGGACCAAGACTGTTGTTCAACTGCAGAATGCTCAATTTATAATTTATAAATATTAACATTTGTTCTACTCATTAATTATACATGCTTTCGTCCAACAAGTGTATTCAGTACCATTTGTATACCAGGCCCCATATTAGTATTGGAGCTATGGAAAAGAAGCTGGCAGGATGCCTGTCCTCAGGCAGTGCATGTTCTAAGGGGGATGCCCAGCAGGTGGTTAGACAAAGCACAGTGTGTGTGAGAACAAAGGAGTGTTGAGTTGAGTTCTCTTTCCAAATTATGGTAAAAATCAATTTCACTACCCACTTCGTACCTTCTCGTCTCATAGAGAACCTGGAGATTAAAAAAGTTAACAGCTGGAGAGTGACCGCTAATAAGTATGGGGTTTCTTTCTGGTATGATGAAAATGTTCTAGAATTACAGAGTGGTTCATGAGGTTGTACAACCTTATGAGCCCACCAAAAATCACTGAATTGTACAATTTAAAGGGGTGAATTTTATGGCATGTGAATTGTATCTCAAAGAAGAGAAAAGTTAATAGCTATTTTCAGCCAATCTGAAACGTTTAGCAAATTCCAGCGCCCAATCTCACTCAGATACCTGGGCCCCTCTTACCTGTTCTCCTTTTAGTCCTGGAAAGCCAGGTAAACCAGTGTCACCTTTTGGTCCTCTAGGACCCTGGAAGGAATTGTTATATAGTATTTGGTTGTTCGTTAAGATTAAAATGCATAAACCAATCAGAAATATATTTTTTCTCAACAGTAGAATACACACTGCCATCCCCCAGGTAGGTGGAAGTCATGATTACCTATGACATTTTCTTAACCTTAAGTGGTCCAGAAACTGTGGTCTGGCAGAAAGAAGATAGCACTGAGTGTTAAGAGGCCTTGAGGCTTCACACTTTTTTGAACATTGGTTTCCTCCAACTGGGCACTACTGATCCAGCCTATTATCTGGGCCTGCTGCATCTGCTTGCCCCACGGCTCCTCCAGGCCACCCTGCAGCCCGCCTCCTCCACTATCCCCTTCCACGACTCCCACCCCTTCTCTGGCTCCCCACTACCTATGAGATGGGACCCAGGTACCTTAGCCTGGCACCCCAGCCCATCCCAGCCAGGCATCAACATCTCATCTCCCACACCATCAGGTTGACTCCCTTCCCGCAGCCTCTCTGCACTCCTCCATTGCTTCTGCACCAGCACTCATGCCACCCCCCCCATAGGAATGCCCACCCACCCCTCTGCAGAGCCAAATCCACACATGCAGCCAGAGGCAACCTCTTCTCAACTCCAACAGACACTGAATGCCTGTGACAATGACTCACACAGCCACATCTGCCTCAAAAAGGCATTTCAACACTTTATTGCTATTTTAACTTTTCACAAGTTCCTGTCTTGTCTGGATGAAAGAGTGAATTACCCATTACAGCAGTGGCTTTCAACTATTTGTTATTATTGTTTAGCAGTGAAACTCTTTTCCTTCCTTTTTTTTCCCCCAAATAAAGTCTTAAATGAAAGCCTAATATATACAAATATGTCCAGTGAAGCTTCCCTTATTGAAGGTCAGTGGCCTGGAATGTGCCTATTTGGCCCCCTCCTTACTCCCTGCAGTGGAGGTCCTGGAGGCTCTCCTGCAGAGCCTGGGACTCCCTCAGGAACACAGGACCACTCATTTAGAGGAAAGTGTGCTCTGAAATGTGCCCCAGGTCTTGGAGCAGCCAAGCCGGGGCTGGAGCTTAGGGGTTTGGCCTTTTCTTCTGCTAACCAAGAATCATGGTCAGAGTCATGGTCACAATCGTGGTCATGGTTGCCATTCTCTCTTTTGTTTTTTAACGTCTAGTTAGCACTATTTTTAGTGTTATCATATGATATGTGCCTTTAGAAAATGTAAAAAGTTCAGAAAATCAGCCAGGCTCAGGGGCTCATGCTTGTAATCCCAGCACTTTGGGAGGCTGACGCAGATGGATTTCTTGAGCTCAGGAGTTCCAGACCAGCCTGGGCAACATGGCAAAACCCCATATCTATCAAAAATATCAAGAAAAAGTTAATGAACAAGATGCCCCTGGAGCTCAGTCATGCATAGATGGAGGAAATGCCATTCTAGGTGGAAGGAACAGAATGATCGCAGCCACGGGGCACAGATAGAAGACAGCGAGGGTGGTACTTACTGGAAATCCTGGCAGCCCAGGCAACCCGTCCGGCCCCTGTGACACACCAAAGATAGAGCACGCTGGATTAGGAGCGGCATTTCCAGAGTCAGCAGGACCCCCTCCCTCCCAGCCCCTTCCAAAGGCCTCAGCATGTTCCCACAGCTGGGAAGACGGATTGACACAGCATTAGGGAAGAAGGGGCCCTGTGAGGGTCTGGATTTGCCAAGGGGAGGACAGTGACTGGAAAGAAAGCAAGGAAGAGAGAGAAGGGGTGGAGGCATGGTAATGCAGGCAGACAAGGCCCAGGGACTGTGAGGACAGGGATGCCCAATCTCTGGTTTTAGTCTCTCTGTGTTTTGCTTCAGTATCCACCCACCTAATATCAGAAACCTCCAATAGCTTGGGGAAAACAAAGACCCCTTGGGAAGAAACTTTCACTTGTTAGCTGGTTTGCTCTAGGGTTTCATTATTGAGGTATTTTGGATTATTGGTTTTCATAGAAATCAAATGGATGCAGTACAGAGGAGACAGGAAGATGGCTCACAATGAGGTCACTCAGCAGGGGAGAAACCTGGTGCCAGAAGAGTCTGCAGATATTTGCAGGAATCTTGGGGCAGCACTAGATTTTCCCCTGGATCTGGATGAATGGGATTCAGGGCAACCTCATGGGGATCTGCAGGAGAGGCAGGGACATCGGCATTGCACAGCTGTGAAGGCATAAACCTGTCTCCACAATGACTTGCACAGAGCGTCACAGTGTGCTAAGCAGTTTCACATCCCTCACTTCTTACAAGTTGCCTCAAAGGCTGGTGAGGTGTCATCAGAGAAGAGAATTAGGGGCTCAGAGTGGTGTGTGGAGAAGATGGGGCTGCAACCTCAAGGCTCCTAAGGCCAGAGCTCCTTCCTTTCTCCTGTGCTGACCAGCAGATGCTGGGAGATGCAATGAGTATTTATTCTACAGGCTGTAGGAGGAAGCTTCCTTCATCTTAGGGCCATTGTGCCATGAGTCAACTCTGCCAACTTGCAGAAATAATGTATATTTTGGTTTTTTTTGTTTGTTTGTTTTGAGATAGAGTCTCACTTTGTCACCCAGCCTGGGGTGCAGTAGTGCGATCTTGGCTCACTGCAACCTCCGCCTCCCAGGTTCAAGTGATTCTCGTGCCTCAGCCTCCCAAGTAGCTAGGATTACAGGCACATGCCACCATGCCCAGCTAATTTTTGTATTTTTAGTAGAGACAGGGTTTCAACATGTTGGCCAGGCTGGTCTCAAACTCCTGATCTCATGATCTGCCTGCCTCAGCCTCCCAAAGTGTTGGGATTACAGGCGTGAGCCACCACTTCTGGCCAAAAATAATGTGTATTTCTTATATACATTATAATCCCATTTTAGAGATCTGGAAATTAACACACAGATAATTTCCAGAGTTCTAAAATGGGGCTATAAAGACTAGAATGAGTCCATTTCTTCCTCGTTTCCCTTGAGCACAAGGAAAGGTGTCTCCAGGCTCTTCCTATACTATGAAATAAGATAATGTAAATAAAAGCAGGCCAAAAGTGTGCAACAGATGTCATCTGTTTGTTACTTAGCATTCTCTAATTTCCATGACACATATTGCCGGTGCACAGGACTGGAAGCTTCCACTGCTTTGGAGACAACTTTCCACATGATCAAATTAATGTGAAAGCAACTTTTCAAAAAATGCAAAGCTTTCTTTCCATTCTACTTTGATATATTCTAGCTCTACGCTTCAGGAGCTAAAAGGATTCCAAAGTAACCCGACTTTGTTTCAACAGGGGCGTCTGGGTAAAAGCCACATTCTGGGGCAGCTGTAGATACCAACCGGAGGCCCCACCAGCTCAGGAATGTCCGAGAAATTCATGAATCCATGGGTGATATTGATCAAGGACTGAAAAGAGAAAAATCAGACAATGAGGACAAAGGATGGCATGTGTTCTGCCTTGTTCCTGGCAGCAAAGCTTTAATTAAAGTCACCCAGCATAGCGGAACACCGCAGACACTGAGAACGCCCTCAGCCCACTGCCAAACACAGCTCTCCCTCCCCCTTCTTATAAAACAGCTCTGAGCTGCCTTCGCACTTTCCTCCTTTACTTAATTTTTAAATCACACAATATACGAATGTCTTCTCTTTTTAGAGTTTAAACATATACATATTATATGCACCCACAGAAAGCACAGTGTTGGGGTGTGTGTGTTTGTCCATGTGGTTATTTTACATAAATGGCATCAGGCTGTATTACTCCTCAACTTGCTTTTTTCACTCGGCCATATTGTGTGGAGATCTTTCCATGTGGAATTTTGGAATATGAATATTTTTAGCTTTAAAAGACTGCCAAAGAGCCATCCAAAGGGGCCAATTTACACTTCCACCAGAAGCACATGAGATTACCTTTTTCCCCACACCCTTACACATATTTGATTTTTAAAAATCGTGTTTTTTTTTTCTTCTAACTTTAGTCATCCTTTTTCCAGTTATTTGGGGCTTGTCTTTCTGTGGTCTACCAGCATGATGTTATTTCTCTCTAAAGGGCCAGGATTTTTCATGATGTGATGTCTTAATATTAAATGCATGCGATCTGGTCCCAGCCCACATTCCAGCCTTCTCTCCAATTTCCATCATTCTCTACACACACCCATGTGCACTATCCTCTGCCAGTCAGCTCCCTCGACCTGGAGCACACCACATTGTCCTACCCTCTGCTTTGGCTCAGGGCATCCCTGACACTAGAGCTTTGGAAGTTCTGTCCTCCGTGCCTACCTGGTAAAATCCTTCTCAGCTTTCCAATCCCTGCTCAAAGATACTTCCTCTAGGAAGTCTTCCTTGATTCCTCATAACCCAAACAGTCTTTTCTCCCTTGTTCCCCTCTTTATGTTCATTTGCCTGTCAGTTACAGCTCTGTTACAGCCCTTCTCCTGACCTCACTGGAGGCTCCTTGAAGACAGGAACTCTGTCTTACTTATCTTTATTTTTAATTTTTTAAAATAGAAACTTTTTTAATATCAGAGACAGGGTCTTGCTATGTTGCCCAGGCTGGTCTTAAGCTCTTGGGCTCAAGCAGTCCTCCTGCCTCGGCCTCTCAAAGTGCTGAGATTACAGGTGTGAGCCACTGTGCCTGGCCTTACTTATCTTTATACCCACAGAGCCTAGCATGGACCTGATGCAGAGTGCATGCCCATGAGTGCTTATGCCAGAGTATTTATCATAGGAATAGAGAATTCAATGACACCAAACATTTCATTCAGCAAACACTGATTAAACCAGCACTATGAGGCCAGTGGTGGGGATACAGAGAAGAAAAAAAGCCCCAGAGGGCAGGTGGAGGAGTCAGACATGTAAATAGGCCACTTGCTGTACCATGATGGGGGTTTGAAGGATGAAGTTACTGCCTTCCTTGTTGAGGAGAGTTGGGAAGAGGATGCTTTCCTCCATTTGTGTGGACATCTTCCCATGTGGGATTTTGGAGAATGGGTATTTTTAGTTTTAGTTTTAATAGACTATCAAAGAGCCATCTAAAGGGAGCACATAAAGATGTTTCCTGTGACATGAAGGGTGTAATCCTTGGCTTCTCTTGGCTCCTGTACCCCCTCCGTGGTGAGGTGGAGGGACCTTCCTGATGGGCAGTTTGGGAAGCACCAAGGGGCATGCCCAGCTCAGCCACACTTCTTTCCTTCAGATCTGCCTGCCTCTGGGAAGCACATCTGGCAACCCATGGGCAAGTCCGTCTGATTGGCAGGAACATGTGGCTCTCCCACTGGGTGAAGGCCTTCCACCTAACCTCCATCAGTAATCAAGGTGGTATCTGGGCCTACCTCCTCATCTTTGGCTTTATTTCTCAATGTGCTCTGCACTTGGCTGGGGAAAGTGTGCACTGCTTATCTGGGGCTTCCTCAAGACCCCAACATCTCTAATGCTCCTAGCCTGTTTTTTCAATTGACCCCAAATGCTGCTAATCAGAAGAGACAAATCTAGAAGCACCATGTGAGAGAACAGTGGAACTGGGGGAGGAACAGGTAGGTGCTGGCAGGTGGAAGTTCTAACACCAGGCACTGGCTACATGCCTCCTGCATAGCCAGAAGCTTTGAAGTCATGGACAACCTTCTCCTCCCTTTGGCAAAGGTGGAAAATATGTAGACAAGCTCTGACCTGAATGATACTCACATTAGACAAGACCTTGATGTGCCCAGGTGGCCCTCTCGGCCCAGGGGGTCCCACAATACTGGCTCCATCCATCCCCCTTTCTCCCTGGTCAAAGCAGCAAGAAGTGAGAAAAAAATTCACTGTACAGCGATAATGCTCCCAGAACCAGGCTGGAAAGCCCTCCCACCCCCACCTTGGCTCTGTGACCTCACCTTGGGTCCCCGGTCTCCTTTCTCTCCTTTGAGACCCTGGAAAAATAAACAAAAATAAATATTCTTCTAGTCACTTTGCTCACCTCCATCTAGCCTCTTGTCTCACCATCTCCCCCTAAGCTTTTATGCTTATTTTGTCCCAGGCAATGGGAACCAAGAATAAGCGAAAAATGCCCCTTCTGGAGTCAGAAGGAAGCAACACTCCACAGAGTGAGAGAATCAGCGGCCCTCTCCCAGCATTGGGTGAGGGTCCTCTTGACCCTGAATCTGTGCTAGACTGAAGGGCTCAGCTCTGGGGCCCATTTAACAAAGAGAATGAAATCCAGGGGATCGGTCCTCCTGAGAGCCGGCATCGCTTCATGGCAGGAGATGGACAACACCTGCCAGGGGCTGGAGGCAGTAGGGAGGGGCACCTGCCAGGAGCACAGGGCTTTGACCTGGGGCAAAGTGTGTGCATTGAATGGGGCAACTGGAGGGAGGAAATAAAGTAGAGATGCTTAGTGGTAAGAGACAGAAGAGGCAGAGGGAGAGAGAGAAATAGATGAAGAGAGATAAAAATGATTTTCAAGTTCTCTTCCCACATCATGTTTTCTGCAAAACTTCTATGCTGTTCCTCAAAGACACAAGCTGTAAAGAGCATCTCATTTCCCTATTGCACAGTTGGGGGCTGGAGGCACAGAGAAGGTGAGTTATTGAAAGTGGCAGAGCCGGGATGCAGCCCACAGCTTCCTCACTGTAGTGTGACAGTGTGACAACCCTCATAATGAAGGTTTCAGAGGCGACCTACAATTGCAGCCGTTGGTCTGGAGAGTTTGGGTTCATTCAATAGCTGGGTGCTTCCAGAGCCTTCGGTATCCTGGGGAAGGAGCAAGAATGAGAATTTCAGATCCAGTTCCTGGGCACCTACTTGTGCCAGGTGTGGTGTTGGAAGCTGGCGGCTCACAGGGGAATCCGCACAGCCTCTGCCCTGAGACCAGGGTTTAGCTAGCTGGTCTTTCTAGTAGCCCTTAGTACACATCATTTTTATAACCACAGAAAAGGGGAAAAGTACCTCGAATCCAAGTCCCATTGTGCATCCAGGGCCTGGGGGCCCAGGGGGTCCAGGAGGCCCTGGGGGTCCCATGACCCCAGGAGGGCCAGCTTGTCCCTTTTTCCCCGGGGGTCCAGGTAAGCCTCTGTTGCCAGGGTCACCCTGTAGGAAAGAGGGCAGGCTGATTATCTAGCCCTGGGTTCACTCATGGAAGGAACAACATGCATGCCTGAATCAGAAAATCACTCCTTGAAGTTAATTAGGTTGATGAATTCTCTGATCGGTACCACTTAATGGTACAGAAACAGCTGTCTTGCTAATTGACAGTTCACCTGGAGATAAGCTGATGCACTCATTTGAATGCATTTGGAGGGAGGGGTGAGGAAGGAGAAAACATTGAAGTGTGTTTACTCCCCACCATCCCCAGCTGTTCTGCCTTCTCTGAGCAATTCCTTTGAGATGTGTTCCTCTCTGTTCCATGACATTTATATGTTCAATATTCCAGCCCAGCAGTCCAATTATAGTAAACTCAAAGAAAGGGGAGGAGGGAGAAGAAAGTTCTTTTTTTTTTTTTTTTTTTTTTTTTTTTACCTTTTCACCAACTGAGCCATTAGGCCCTCTTGCTCCCTGAAAAAAACAAAAACAAAAACATGGACCAATTAATGCATATGTCATGAGGTGTGTTCTGAAGACAATGCACAATTATGGACTCCAAGGAAATAGGATATTAAAATAGGACTCTTTCTGTCTCAGATTGGTGTCTCCAAACCAAACACATTACAATAGGTGCCAGTCTGTTGGGCAGGTCATGCTGAAAGCTTGTGAAACCCACTTTTCAACCATCAGCTCATCACCTACTGCAAGAGTAAACCAGAGAAGTTAAAGATTAATGAGGGAGAGATCATAGAAGATTTCGCTTGGAGAGCTGCCAGTGGACTGGAGTGGTCCCCTTCCCCACCCTTCCCATGACGGAGGTAGAGGGTACTTCACCCACTCTAAAGCGAGGGAAGGGGCTTCATGATCTGAAATGTATCCCCTAGACTTTTGGATATATGGGGGATGATGACTGGCTCTCTTGTGGAAAGATCTAAAGACCCAAAGCTGGCTGGAGTAGTCCCCAGAAGACAGAATTGGGGAGGAGGTTGCATTAGGGCAGGTTGCATGTCCACACCCAGTGGGGACCACACTACAGTTTCCTGGGGGGTTAGATGCAGATGTCACAGAAAGGAGTCGGCTGTGAGCTCCAAGCAGAGGAGAGGACCAAAGCAGGTGGGCGGTCAGGAGTGGTCAGCAATGAGGACAGTGGCCTACATCAGAGGACTGTGGTAGGGGGCCCCCAGATGGAGAATCTCTGAGGAAACCACAAATGCACCTGCAAGAGATGAAGTCAGCAATTGCATGCCACACAGGAGGTCCTGAGAGAGATGCTGATGTACCAGCCATCAAAGACTATGTCCTTCCCCCCAGTCATTTTTGTTCCTGGGCTACAGTCTCCTCCTTATATCAAATCCATGGAAATGAGAGAATGGATAGTTCTAAAATAGCCGTGCTCAAAAATAAGATGGGGAGTGGCATTAAATCCAAAATAGAAATGCCAAGGGGAAAACAGGGAAGTTGAAGACAGGGGCCTCAGCCATCAAGAGAAACCACAGGGAGAAAAGTCTGCTGTGAAGCTGTGATGGAAGTCAGGTGCATGATGTGGCCCCTGGGCCCCAGAAGGTAGATAGGTTGAAATTCTGCAGCAGGCTAGCTGTCCAGCCCTGCCCATCTCCCCTCCCCTCCCACCCTCACTCCTGCCAAGGAGAAAATATGGATACCTTAATTTTAGAAAACAACAGTTGTTTATTGGGCTAAAGACATAGGGCAGAGCCCCAGATGACTAGGAAACTCTGTGAGGTCCAAGGGCACCCTACACGCGGAAGATCAGCTGCTGAGGTGCCCTGCCTGATGGCACATCTTATTCCTTCCATCCCCTTCCTGAACCCTGCATGTCTCAGAAGGGGCTACTGCCCACCTCCCAACAGTCTGCACCAACAGAGGCAGAAAACAGACTCAGGCAGGATCCCAATTTCACAAGTAAACACACAAGAAAGAAACACAAACATCTGAGGCAAGGCAATACTGTGAGAAACAACTAAGTCAACTACAGAATTTACATCCAAGGAAATGGAGTTAAGAAAACAATTCAATCAGGACATTGAGTATAAGACACACATTCTCACAGAGAAAAGGTAGGATAACATAGCCATGACACAAAGACAAGCTATTATGAAATAAAAACAGTGGTTATGATAAAGAACCAATTAGAGATCTTGGAAATTATAAATAGAAAACTGTCGAAATGCAGAACTCTGCAGAAGGACTGCATAACAGAATAGACACACCTAAAGAGAGAATTAATACAGAGATCAAGCTACAGAATTCTCCCAGAAAGCAACACAAGAGGGTAAAAAGACCTAGACAGAATGACAAAGTAGTAAGAGAGATAGAAGCCACAATCAGAAGTTCCAACATCGGTTTAATTGGAGTGGCAGAGGAGAGAATAAAGAGAAAGAAGGAATGCAGTGTTTAAATTTTCTGAAAAAACACAGAAGTCTCCAGATTAAAAGGCACCCCTCCCCCCAAAAAAAGTCCATAGAGTACCAAGAAGGATAAATGAAAGAATACATTTAAAAAATAATTCACATTGGCCATGCTTGGTGGCTCAGGCCTGTAATCCCAGCACTTTGGGAGGCTGAGGTGGGCAGATCACAAGGTCAGGAGTTTGAGACCAGCCTGGCCAACATGGTGAAACCCCGTCTCTACTAAAAATACATAAGTTAGCTGGGTGTGGTGGTGTGCATCTGTAATCCCAGCTACTCAGGAGGCTGAGGCAGGAGAATCGTTTGAACCCAGGAGGAGGTTGCAGTGAGCCAAGATCGCACCACTGCGTGACTCCATCTCAAAAAATAATAATAAATAAATAAAAATAAATTAAAAAATAAAAATAAAATAGAAACAATAATCCACATTTAGTAACAATGCAGAGGAATTTTTAAACACCAAGAATAAAGAACAATAAATCCCCAAATTTGCCAAAGAGAAAAATCAGATGACCTCCAATAGAGTGAGAACCAGAGTGAATCTGACTTTGTGCTGACAACACCGGATGTTGGAAGATGATGGTGATCATCTTCAAATCATCAAGGGCAAATGACTTTCAACCCAGAATTCTATACTCAACCAAATAAGAAAATAAAAACATTTTAAAAAATCCAGGGTCTCAGAAAGTTTGCCATCTACAGACAGTCTGTGAAAATATGACTGGAGGACCTACTCTAACAAAAATAATTAAAGAGGAAATAGGACACATGAGGCAATGAAAACTATATTCATATATTACTTTTATAATTACAATTTAATTTTAATTTTAATAAATGCTTGAAGTAGAGTTGTTCTGTCCTCACCTACCAGCCCGAAGGCACTTCCACAAAGTCCCATGGCTCTGCCAGGGCACAGAAAACCAGGGACTAAAGCAATTTGCAGGTTCCTTCCAGCTCTGAAACTTTGGGACTCTAGTTGAGTATGAGCCTAAGCAAAGCTCTCAGGATAGATGAGAAAGATGAGGCCATGACGTGTCCGCAAAACTGCCTGCACACAATAGGCAACCCCCACGCAACAATCTCCCCCTTTCTCCTTCACAGACTCGAGCCCATGCTGTTTGCTTGGTAGTTGTGATAACCTTCCTCACGGAACTGGCTGCTCCCATGGGTGAGGTTCATGGGTTTGCTAGGTGAGGGTTTCCACCTGATGCTGGAGGAAGACAAATGCCTCTCACCTGGGGGCATGCGTGGGGCATGGGAAGGGTCCCATCTCTTGCAGTGTTTTCCTATTGGGACACACTACCCAGTTCTTGGCCTAGGAATGGGGATCACAGGGGCTGAGGGTGGTCTGGGCTCCCAGGTGAGGCACCAGGCTCTGGAGGCAGGCTCTGAGGCTGGAGTGGCAAGGAATTTCTGCGAGCAAAGCCCTCCATAAGGTCTCCAGGGGCAGCTTCATGGAAAGTTGGTGCCTCTGTGGCAAAGGAGCCAGCAGGGACACTCCAGCCATTCTGGGGAGATGGGAGGAGAAGGTGTGCTCGGTGAAAGAAGTGACAGCGACTAGGCTCTGTCACCTCCCTGCTGGCCAGCCTCACCAGGGAGAAACTAAGTGTGACCTTCCACCTGCAGTGGAAACATGACTCCAATAACTGGATGCCAATTTTATAGCCTAACCCAGAGGCTACAGTTGCTATGTCTGCTCCTCTTGGGTATGATTGGCTTGTTGCTGGCTGCCCATTGCAAACTGTCTTTAATGAAAGTGCCAATCTTGTGCATCTTTTCAGTAACAAGTCAAACTACCATCAGGATTGTTGTGAAACAGAAACTAAAGTAGCCTCCCTCTAAAAACCTTGTAGCTGCATGGCCGGCTGATCTTGTTACAGAAAATTATGTCCATAAAGTGAAAAACTGAATTGTTTCAGTTGCCTTCCTCATTCCTTTCCAATCAAGAGGGCATCTTATAGAGTTTCAAAGGAAGTTCTAGAAGATATCATGGGCCTTGGTTTATGGTCTTAGATGATTTTATCCAGCTTAGACATGGTAAAAAGAGAGTATCTGAATCCATTCCATTGACTCACAGATAAGATGGCCATCAGCTTGGAACACGAGTAGATTAACTTGTGGGTAGAAGAGTCCACTTTACTGGAACTTATGTGAACAGGCAGGGTGAAAAGGAGGAGCTCCAATGAACAGGCTGAGGGAAGGCTCCTATTCCCAAAATGGTGATGTTGGAGTTGTACATTATTTCTTAGTGAGAGAATTTTTGTGCAGTGAGGGCATGCATGCAATCTTGGAATTCCAAATAGCAGAGCTGCAAGTATGGTTTTAAAAGTGATGAAATATGAAGGTATCAGTTCACTAATGGAAACATTGCAAAGGAATGAGGTAAAATAGTGCCGTCTGTTACAACATCGTGGTTTAGAATTGATTCAAAATGTTGGCTTACTGTGGTGAATTGGATTTTCTAAGGACATTACTCAATTTCAGCACACAGGAACCTCAAAGAACCTAATGGAGATGAGGATTCTTTTTGCTTGTGTGGCTTCTGAGACAGCACATCTTACTGCCTTGTGGATGTCTGTTGGTTTTCCTTCTGCTGTTTGTAATACTGATAACCAGTTTCTTTTCTGTTACAATTGACTATGGTCTATATGATTTTTTTTTTTTTTTTGAGATGGAGTTTTGCTCTTGTTGCCCAGGCTGGAGTGCAATGGCACGATCTCGGCTCACTGCAACCCCGGCCTCCCGGGTTCAGGTGATTCTCCTGCCTCAGCCTCCCGAGTAGCTGGGATTACAGGTGCCCACCACCATGCCCAGCTAATTTTTTGTATTTTTAGTAGAGATGGGGTTTCGCCATGTTGACCAGGCTGGTCTCAAACTCCTGACCTCAGGTGATCCACCCACCTAGGCTTACCAAAGTGCTGGGATTACAGGAGTGAGCCACCGTACCCAGCCATCTATTTGGTTTTATGGAGGCCTATAATCCAGATGTTGAACCAAACACTTCTGATAATGAAAGAAGATATAAAATAGGAAATTAGGCAACTATTTCAGTGTTTCATTTAAACATGTTGTTAGAAGGTCTAAACCCATTACTGCATCCTAGGCAAAAGCAGCTTACTTCTCTTTTCTTTCTTATACAAGGTTTAGAGAATTGTTCAAAGACCAATTGGGATTGCTTGGAGAAAGGGAAGGTGATGATGATCTAATTGTATTTCTCTTACATCAACGGAAAAGACAGAAGCTGATTTTACAATGACAGTTTGGCAGCTCAGTGAAATTACTCAAAGGCAATTACTGGCAATTCAGCATTCCACAGTAATTCTGGACACTGAAGAAAATTTCCAAGCACAAACTCTTTCCTGCCCAGGTGTCCCAGTACCTTTTGAGACTGCAGAATAACATGAATGACTTAGATTCTGAAAGTAGAAAATCAACAACAACTGTTAATACTAGGTGTGTTCCGAGAACTGAATGGCAGAATCTGCAGTGCAAAAGCAGAAAGGAATGATTTTTCAGAGATCCATCTTCTTCAGCAAGTTCTTCTGCATTCTTTCTAGAAACATTCTACTGCTGAGAAAGCAGGCTACTCCTCACCCATTCCTTCTTGGGCTAAAGATCTTAAGAGTTAGTTGATCATCTTGATTTGGGAAAAATAAAGTAAGGAATATTTCTATCATCGAACTCAGCATAGAATAATCTATTTGATAAATTCTTTTTGAGGTATCATTTAAAAAATATTTTAATTTGTATAATTTCAATACGTTTTTTGGGGAACAGATGGTATTTGGTTACGTGAGTAAGTTCTTCAGTGGTGATTTCTGAGATTTTGGTGCACCCATCACCTGAGCAGTGTATACTGTACCCAATCTGTACTCTTTTATCCCTCACTCCCTCCCACCCTTTCCCCCAAGTCTGTTGTATCAATCTTTTTTCAATTTTTTCTGGAGACGGAGTCTCACCCTGTCACCCAGGCTGAAGTGCAGTGGCGCGATCTCGGTTCACTGCAACCTCTGGCTCCCGGGTCAAGCGATTCTCCCACCTCAGCCTCCCGAGCAGCTGGGATTACAGGTTTGTGCCACTGCGCCCGGCTAATTTTTGTATTTTTAGTAGAGACGAAGTTCCACCATGTTGGTCAGGCTGGTCTTGAACTCCTGACCTCATGATCCGCCCATCTCAGCCTCCCAAAGTGCTGGGATTAGAGGTGTGAGCCACCGCACCCAGCCTGTTATATCATTCTTATGCCTTTGGGTCCTCATAGCTTAGCTCATACTTAAGATATTTGATGAATTCTTAATGAGCATCATGTTTTGATCTCAATCTCATATTTTATAATAATAATTATTATATAAAAAACATTTTTTTCCAGCTAAATAACCTGAACCTTATTCTTTGTAGAGAAAACTCCATTTTAGATAACTGCCTAGATTGGTCTATGTGCTGTGCTAAAGAGAAAGGAGGCTGATTTCACCACAGCAAATGGAAAGACTTCCCTATAAGTGGATCTATCCAACGGTGCAAGGCACTGCCTGGGCAGGAGATGAGTTCCTTGTCACTGGAGGTATGCAAGTTGAAGGGCAGATATTGTTGATGGGGAGTCAAAGATCAAACGAATCATTGGATCTTATGATCTACTACAGCCCTGAAGCTGTTCATTTCCTTTAGCACATTTTTTGTTATTTTACATACTGAATATGCACCTTGGTTTATTAGGGACTTTTTTGGTTTTGTTTTGTTTTTAAGGTAAATATCATGTGCAAAGTTTCCTGCCAGCTCTCCAGATGCAAATTTCCAAGTTCTTCCAAGTCTGTTTTTGCTTGATCAGAAAACCTCATATGTGCACAGTGCAACAAATTGAGATGCATAGCAAATTTCAGAAACAAATGTGATTGATCTCCAACATTCACCCTAGGCAAGCCTGCTGCTCCTTGCACTGCTGATTCTTCAAGCAGCTGCAGAGTGCCTGTGCAAGGGTGTTTTGTATGCAGTTGTGGGTGTGGGTATCTTTAAGTTCGAGACAGAGTATGGGAGGGGTGTGTGTGGGTGGGTGGGGGGAAGCCTGGAAGAAGAACAGGTAAGAAGAGTGTAGGTCTGTGGTGCTTCCTGCAAAATTTAATTTCTGTAAAACTGTTGGTACATGTAAAATGAGTTCTATAAAGCTTGACAATTGTATCTTTTTCTGAGAAATAAGCTTTCCACGAAAATTGAGTTATGGTTCCAATTAAAATAAACATACTCCAGAGCTGACGGAAACTAGAAATTCAGTTCAGTGATGATGGTGGTGTCTACAGAGTCAGCATTTTCCACGTCTTTGTCCATGAGAGGTTCACAGAAGGCCCCACTTCTGATCCCAGCTGAGATCTCTCTTCCTCCTCTAGACCCCAGTAAAACCCACTGATCGCATCCCTAGCACAGGGCTCACCTTGTCTTTATTGCCTTCCTTTGACAGACATGGCTTATCTCATCAAGCTGGGAACACTGCAGAGGCAGAAAGCACCCCCTACACATACACGCCCCAGGTAGCACCAGCACAGGCTTGCAGACAGGAGGCAGGACCAGCTTACAGACAGAGAATGAAGAGGATGAAGGCAGGCCAGACTCTGGGAAAAGTAGACTAATGGTGTCTGAAAAAAGTTTCATTCATGCATCAAACACTAATAGAGGCTTGTGCTAGGTTCTAAGGAGAGAGAGGCAGTACTATGCTCTATGTCAGGGTGGGGGTGAGGAGCAGACAGGTAAGCTAACACCTTTAGTGTCACTGGCAAGGGAGGTTCTCAATAGCATGGGAACTTCCTATGATGCTCATAGAAAGGGGAGGAAGGAGGGGTGCTTTCTGCTCATAATGAGTCAGGGAGAGCTCCCCAGAGGATGTATCTGAACTGGGTCTTGGAGGATGACAAAAGGAAAAGGACATCCCAAACAGGGAGAAAACCATGTGCAAAGGCCAGGAGGACAGAAGGGAAGAGCGTGCCCAGAGCATTTGGGCAGAACCAGCCCACTGGCCAAGAGGCCGTGTGAGGAGTTGGGGGATGCACTACAGAGGCAGCTTGTGCGAATCAGGAAGGGCCAGATGTCTGCACAGAGCTAGGGTGTGTCCTGCAGGCAGTTGAGCCCTTGATCTTTTCTCAGTAGCCAGGGCAGGGGCTGACGAGAGCCTGCTACAGGAAGGTGAACTGGGCAGGAGGCTGGAGGGTGGGTGGAGAGAATGGGACAGCAACTGGGAGCCCAAGGCCACCGTGCGAATGAGAAGAGATGAGTCCAGCTCAGTGGGGAGACAAAAGTGAGAGATGTGGAGGTCAGACTGGGCCATCTTGGCACTGACCAATCATACCAGGAAAGGGAGGGAAGGAGGAGTTAGAGAAGATTCCATTTCTCGCTCCAGGTGACCAGGTAGATGGCAACACCATTCACTGAAGCTAGGGGCAGACAAGAGTGGGCAGGGAAGGTGCTGAGTTCAGGCTTGGGCATGATGAGTCCCATGATGGAGACATCCAGCAGAAGTGGCCAGCAGGGGATTTCAGGAGGCCAGGGGGTCAGTCACATAAGAGGCAAGGTCAGGTTTAGGGGTCAGAGAGAGTAGTGTGGGCCTGGTGGCTCCCATGTGGTGGGACCCTCCCGTGTTCCCCGTACCTTCTCCCCTTTCATCCCGGGAAGGCCGGTGGCTCCATCAACTCCAGGCTGTCCCTCAGGGCCCTGGGGAACATCAGTGACAATCAACCCACAACATTTCTGCTAAATATCACATACACACGCTTGCTAGAAAAGGAGGGCAGGGTTGGGAGGCAGGTGAGGCTGGTGGGCCCAGGGCCTCATGTCAGGTGCAAGGCAGGAACCTAGTCCTTGGCCCAGGCTGGGTCACTGCTGACTGTGCACCTGTGGCTAACTGTCCTTCACTCTCTGGATTACATTTCCTCCTCTATGGGGAAGTTAGAGACAGGGTTGGACCAGATGGTCTCCAAGGGTCTCCTACCCCAGGCCCAGCCCTGATGGCCTATGATTCCAAGATTCTTTATGAATCTGTGTCTCCTGTACAGACGCTTCTTGACTTACAATGGGGCTACATCTGATAAACCAATTGCAAGTTGAAAATATCTTAAGTCCAAAATGCATTTAATACACCTAATCTACTGAACATCATAGCTTAGCCTAGCCTAACTTAAACATACTCAGAACACTTCCATTAGCCTATAGTTGGGCAAAGTCATCAAACACAAAGCCTATTTTATAATAAAGTGTTGAAAGTGAAAACAGAATGGCTGTATGGGTACTCAAGGTAAAGTCTCTGCTGAATGTGCATCACTTTGCACCACTGTAAAGTCAAAAACATCTTAAGCTGAACCATTCGTAAGTAGGGGGCCATCTGTATTGACTATGATAAAGCAGCAAAACAATACGTAGGATGATGTTTTTCTTGGCTGCTGCTTCTTTCGAATCTCAGCAATGATTCAGATGAGGAGGATTTCTGTTTACAAACAGCTAGCTGCTCTCTCCCCATCGCGAACCTTGGACAGTGCTGGGTTTTGCAATCTGTACACCCCTCCCCTGCTAAAGGAAGCCCCACAGCCACAGAGATGGGGAGAAGACTTCAGTTGCTCACCGGGGGCCCAGGTTCACCAGCAGGTCCATCCTCTCCAGGAGATCCAGGGGGTCCCATGAAAACATCAGTTCCTGGTTTTCCTGGAATCCCAGGTAAGCCAGGTGGCCCTGGGGGTCCTGGAGGACCCTAAAAACACAAAGACTCTGTTAGAAACAGTGGGGGAATACCGAATGAGATACTGAGTATGTGCTTCATGCAATCTCTCAAATTCTTTCAACAATCCTACATGTAGGGTTTGGTGATCCCACTTAGCAGATGCGGAAAATAAGGCTCAGTGAGACCATGCGACTCAAGGGCTCTCAGACACACAGCTAATTAGTAGCAGAACTGGGATTTGAATCTCAGTCTTTCTGAGCCCATCATATCGTGTTTTCTCCCAAAAGGCTGAATACAAGAAAGATCCAATTAGTTGGAATTCTGAGAGGTGCTCTGGTGAACTTAGTTTTCTGATTAACTGTGAGGTCAGTCAGGACAGATCACAAGGTCAGGAGATCAAGACCACCCCAGCTAACATGGTGAAACCCTGTCTCTACTAAAAATACAAAAAATTAGCCGGGCGTGGTGGCCGGCACCTGTAGTCCCAGCTACTCGGGAGGCTGAGGCCGGAGAATGGAGTAAGTAAACCTGGGAGGTGGAGCTTGCAGTGAGCCGAGACCGCGCCACTGCACTCCAGCCTGGGCGACAGAGCAAGACTCCATCTCAAAAAAAAAAAAACAAAAAAACAAAAAAAACTGCTTGTGGTGTAGCCTTGTTTTTAAAACTCTTTCTGAAGTGCACTAGTGTTTTTAGCCCATTGCTGGGTTGGCTGATCCCACCAGGCTGGGAGATTCATTTGGCTCCCATTCCATTTAACCACGGAGTCCAGAACCCTTCTAGCCCTGGCCATGAGGAGTGGGCAGAGGGGCAGCCAAGTGGAGCTTTCAACCAGGGATTCAGCACAGGCTCTCAGGGACAGAGGCACCAGCTGCAGCTAGAGAAGGTAGAAGCTCCCCAGGGGGCAATTTCAGAAAGGACTGGTGGAGCTCCAGCCTTGGCAGGAGGCCAGGGGAGCAAGAGGCACCAAAGAGAAAGAGTAGCCTGGAGAGGGAGGCAGGGAGGGAATGCATAAGGGAAGGAGATTTCAGGAAGGTTCTGGAAGCTGAAGTAGAATAGCCACCCAGAGACAAAACCAGCAGGTCTCTTTAATGAATAGGGTGAGAGGAGGGGGAGGGAGGATTGAAAGCCAGTTGGCAGAGGTGAAGGGCACTGGGCACACCTGCTGCAGGGCAGCCTGCTCAAGAAGCCCACCAGGGAAAGGAAGAAGGTGGGGTGAGGAGGTCCTGAAGATAAATGTAGGCTCGTACTCACTTACAATGCAACTGATCAAAGTGAACAATTTCAAACATATATACAAGCACAAGGAAAAGTAGAATGAACCCCCATGAGCTCACTGCCGGCAACCCCAGCAGCAGCCAATCCAGTTTCATCTGTCCCTGGCCCCCACGTCCCTCCCTCTGGGGTTATTTTGAAGGCAGTCCCAGACACCAGGTCGTGTCCTCCTTCACACTCACTCTCAGCAGCTGCTCACTGCCCACCAGGTCACCAGAGCCAGAGCCGACGTCCGAGCCCCAGCCTAGGCCAGAGCCCTCTGCTTCTGCTCCTGCCTGGAAAGAGAAGAAATTTCCACTACTTGCATTTAACTGCCAGACTCCAAGGACAGCCACGTCACTGAGTTTTCTCCAAAATGGGGAAATGTTTCCTATATCCTATAGCCCGATAACTTCTGCTCCCCGTTTTCTCTCTGACTTTTCTCCCACTCCCCTCTACAGCTACCCTTCTCTCTTGCCGCCTCCCAGCTGTGCAGCCCACTCATGTCCTCGGCCTCCTTTCCTGCCTTTCAATTCCCAACTCATCCTTCAAGGCCCAGTTCCGCAGTCTCCTCCTACACGAAGCCCTCCCTACCCCGTTTCCAGGCAGAATTCTCTCCCTCCACAGTGCTCCCACTAGCCTCTGTCAAGGTCTCAGTGAGATGCTAGGACCACCTGACTCGAAGCTTAGTTGTGCGTGGGTCCATCGGCTCCTCTAAACTAGGGCTCAAGAGCCAGCCCAAACCTGAGACACACTGGGTGCCCAGAGTCCAGCAGGAGGCCGAGCACCCAGAGAGCCCTCAGTGCATACTTGAATGGCATCAAATGTATCTGAAGAACAAGGGGAATCTTCAAAACACCTTTCCAGCACTTAACTCCTGAAGACAGGAACCAGGCAGGGCCTAATTCATTCATTGAATGTGTGTGTACTGAGCACCCCCTGAGAGGCACCCAGAAGAGCTGGGTTTGGGGGTTACAGCTGTGTTTAGGAAGGTCACAGTGGTGGGAACATGTGTGTGGGGGAAGGGAAGTGGTGACATGGAGGCGGAGAGACCAGTTAGGAGGCTGGTGCCATCGCCCAAGAGAGGAGGAGGAGGCACTGCACAGCTAGACTCAGGGGGACATGGGGACACACTGGGCAGGGCTGGGGAAGGCAGAGGACCACTCAAGGATGTTTCTCTCTTGGTGACCACATAGATGGGGTGCCATCCTCAGAGATGGGGAACCCAGGAGGAGAAGCAGGTCTGGGGCATGGGTAATGAGTCCAGCTTGGGAAGTGTTGAGTTTGAAGAACTTCTGGGATGCTCAAGGTGCAGGATTTAAACTGGATAGAAATCAGTTCTGCTGCTGCACACTGCAGAGTCCTAGTAGAGGCAGAAAGCCCTAGGGTCTGACTGCAAGATACTTTGGGGGCCAAAAAGGAGAGTCCTCAGCCTGTGGCTGTTTTGGCCGCATCCCTGGTCTTACACCTGTGTGTGTGACAAGCCTGGATGGGAATCTCACCGTGGGTCCAACAGGCCCAGAAGGTTCAGGAGGGCCAGGAAGCTCCTCCCCAGCATCACCCTAAAGAGAACAAAATGGTCAGTGAACGGCTGGAACTCTGTTCCTACCATCTCCCCACCTTTCTGTAGAAATCGTGCTCATCTTTAAAATCAGGATCACACAGGAAAGAAAAATGGCATTGTCCTTTGCAGAGACAGCTTAAGGGAATGCCTTGTCCCACCCCAGGGCTCAGAAGCCCTTTGTTTCTGTGCCATACTTGGAGGGCACAGGCTGTGGTGGAAAGAGCTGACCAGTATGAGCACGCATCACACACACCCTCCCTTCTTCCAGGATTTATCCCCACCCTCTGATCTGGGCCCTGCTAGAGCACCAGTGCTCAGTGCTCAGGCCCAGTGTGGACTCCCCTGAAGCCTGCCCTGCCCACCTGCTCCTCTCACCAGGGCGTGTGACCTTTACAGGAACATCATTGCTCACAGTCTGCCCCTCTGGGACCATGTGCCCCTCAAGGGCAGGCACAGTGCCTGAATCACCTCCAGGTCCCAGCACCTGGCACAAGGCTAGTGCCCCAGAAAATGCTTTTCGAATGACAGAAGCACACATTTGGAAAAGAGGCAGATGAAAGAAAATGACAGAGTGGCATCCCAGGAGGTTTTGGCTGTCAAAAAGGGCCCAGAGAAGTGGCTTCTCTGACAAATAAGGTGACAGGATGGCCAGATCCACCAAAAGGAGAGAGGAAATGTCCACAGTAAAGTCCCCAAATCTGTGTGCCTCCTGCTACACCCCAGAGCCCTGCTCCATCTGAAGTCCACTGAGGTAGCCAGAGGCAGAGAGAAGTGAGGACACCGCCCTCCCCAGCCCTGGCCCTCCCTTCCCCACACCCCGGTGGGCACTCAGGAGGCCCCAGGACGGGAGCATCATCTGCTGCAAGGAACGGCCTCTGTGCAGCCCAGAGGGAGGTGAGACAGGCAGAGGACCAGGGTCATGGTGGAGATGAGAAGGCTCCCAGAGGCAGCCAAGCTGCTGCCTATGGCCAGAGCAGGCTCCCTGGGCAGGATCTCTTGACTGGGGTCACTGTGGACACATCCCCCTGGGAACAGCTTATCACCAATAGGTGTTTTGGTAAGAGGAATTTGTTATTCCCGCAGTGACTGACACCAGCTAAAGCACTTCTATAAACATCCCCTCACGTCATCCCACACCGCAGGGTCATCATCACCACCTCCATTTTACAGATGGAGAAACTGGAGCAAAGAAATAGTAAAGAACTTTCGGGAGATCCCACAGCTACAAAAAGGCAAACCTAGGCCTGTGGTCCTCAAAAGCTCTTGTCTGCCCAACATTTTCCCAGGAAGAAAATCAGGGGCAGAGCCCAGAGCCCGGACACAGAAGTGAAGAAAACTGGTTGCAGATGTGTGGCAGAGCCAGGTGTGGAATCATAGGACCCTTTGATACTCGACAGAGAAGCCAAGGCCCACGGAGGTCAAGGGACTTGGCCACGGTCACCAGGTGGTGAGAAGAGACTCAGTCAGAACTGCCCAGTGCCCTTTTCCTGATTCTCCCAGACCTACAAGTCCATTTCTTTTGGGCTTAGCCCTCTTGCTGCTTCTGCGATCCCCTTGATCAGAGTGGGCTAAATCAAACCTAAATAACATGTTCAGGACACTTGATCAGGAGCCAAAGTGTTCCCCAGGATGGTCACAGCACAAACCTTTTCTCCTTTGGGCCCAGCCTGTCCTTTCATTCCCACATGTTCTCTTTGAGCCTAAAAGAAGAAGATTTGGTTAAAACGTGGCCACAACATATTTGGGACATGGGGCTGCTGAGTTCCGATGACATTCCCTGGTCCTGGTCAGTGAGCTGGGCATGAGCTAGGGCTTGTACTGGGCTGAAGTCAGTGAGCCCCATGAAGAGAGAGGCTGCCTGATCACTGCACCATCCCCTGCACCGGCAGATAATAAGCTCTCAGTACCTATTTGCCAAATGACTAGTGGGAAGAGCCTGGCATTTGGAGTCACCCACACCTGACAATCAGTCTTCTCTCTCACTTGTGTTCCACAACACAGATTTTTAAATATATTACTTCATTTCCAGGGCAACATTCTCCATATATTTGTTAAGATCTATTAGTCAGTCCTTAGAAATGTAATGACATCATTGTGACCAGTGTGGGCTTTGCTAATCAACTTCTGGCTCCCGTCTGAAGACAGTGGTTGTAAACAGTGCAGAAAACCAAAGCACTAAAAAATCCAGAGACAAAGGCTCTCACTCCTACTGGACCCCTAGGAGCAAAGCTCTAATCCTTTCTGGGCCTCATCTGCAAAATAATTCTAGACAGCTAATTTATTGAGCATGTACTATGTGCTGGGTCATGTTTTCCATGGATGAACTCATTTAATCCTCACAAATCAAGAGGTAGGTTCTAAGATTATGATTCCCATTTGATGCATGAGTCAACTGTGACAGAGAGAAGTGAAGAAAACTGGCCACAGATATGTAGCAGAGCCAGGCAAGCTATACTGTCATGGTGACTCTGAGATTCAAACTGACCTAGAGTCACCATGGCAGTATAGCATGCCTGGCTCTGTCACATATCTGCCAATACTGATCCTAGAGGCTGGGCCAATACTGATCCTAGAGGACGGGTGCAGCGGCTCACGCCTGTAATCCCAGCACTTTGGGAGGCTGAGGCAGGTGAATCATCTGAGGTCAGGAGTTCAAGACCAGCATGGCCAACATGGTGAAATCCTGTCTCCACTAAAAACAAACAAATAAGCAAACAAAAAAATTAGCCGGGTAGTAGCGGCACATGTCTGTCTGTAATCCCAGCTACTCTGCAGGCTGAGGCAGGAGAATCGCTTGAGCCTAAGAGGCGGAGGTTGCAGTAAGCCGAGATCACGCCACTGCACTCTAGTCTGGGCAAGAGAGTGAGGCCCTGTCTCAAGAAAACAAAAACAGAAACAAAAAAACTGATCCTAGAGATATCCCAAGGTGGGTGCCTTCTTGACAATCTTGTGCTTTTAGACTCTGCTCAGGAATCGGGGCATTCATCTGAGTTCATTGCAGATCCCTAACGTGGGGACTTAGCAGGAATGTCTTCATCAGACATCAACCATGTCTCCGTTTCTCTCTCTCATTCTATCTCTAACTCTCTCTGTGTCTGTCTCTCTCTCTCTCTCTTCCTTCTCAGAGCTTTAAAAAATCTATCATAAAAATTGTAAGCCACCATAGTAGAAAATGTATTAAACCACAATGTATTAAAAACCTAACAACCTTCCACAGTTCCACCACTTTGAGGCAACAGCTGCCAACATTTACAGAGGGTATTTCCTTCTAGTGTTTTTGCATGTGTGTATTTTTAAATAGTTAACCACACAATATACTAGGTTTACAACCAGCTTCTTTCACTTAACATTATATGCTAAGCATTTCCCCCATCATTAAATATTTCTAACAGGTATAATTTTATTAGCTACATAATGTTCCATTGTTTGAATATACTTTAATTCAATTAATCTTCTATTGTTGGCTAATTAAATTATGCCCAATTTTTCTCTATTATGGACAACACTGAGATTAGCATCCTTGTAAACAAAGCCTTTTTTTAAAAAGCGGCAACAACAAAGGCTATCAGACTATCTCCACTAGAATCAATTCCTAGAAGAGAAGTTTCTGGTCAGCAATATGCGCTCTTATGATTGTTAATATATGTGGACAAAGAGCTTCCCAGGAGCAGTAACCCTCACACTCCCATGAGCACAGCCAGCCTTACCAGACTGACTTCTCAAAGCTGAAAACATCAAGGGTCTAAGGAAGAAACTGACCCAGTTTCTTCAACAGATTAATGGCAAAAGGGAAAAAGAAGGCGGGAGACAATTAGAGATTAAGAGACACTTAAGAGACGTATCAACCAAATGCAATGTGTAGACCTTGTTTGGATTCAGAGTCAAACAAACTGGAAAGAGGTATTTTAAAACAAAATAGCCAGGGCATTAGATAATACGAAGGAACCCCTGCTCATTTTGTTAGATGCATCGTGATACTATGGCTATGACCAAAACAAAGGTACCAGATCACTCTATCAGCCATACACATTGAATTATTTACCAGTTAAATAAATGATAGGATGTTTGGGGTTGATTTTTGAATACTCCAGTATTCCCCTTCTCTCCAAAAAAGATGGTGGTAGGAGGTGGAACAGATGAAGCAAGATTGTCAGTGTTGATAATTATCCAAACTGAACGATGGGTATGTGGGGGTTAATTATACTATTCTAAGCTCCTTTGTCTAAGCTCCTTTGTGACATTTTTAGGTTTTCAATAATAAAACGTTAAAAAGAGAAAGAAACAGGAGAACCGGCTCTATCTGTGCCCGATGTGGCATCACTAGGGAGATTTGAACTTGGTGCTTTGTGTATACCTTGGGGTGAGGTGCAGAAGAGCAGGGGGACATTGTTTGGGAAGTCACAGTGCATGAGCGGGTCAATCCAGAGCTGGCTGCCCACTAGATGCCCTGCAAGCCCAAAGCCCCAGCCCCAGTGTCTCAGTTACTTGGTCTAGCACTGGACTCAGACACCTGCATTGTTTTAAGCTTCCCAGCCATCTCTAATGCGTGACCAGAGTTAAAAACCAGAGTTGTTCTTCACCTTTTTTCCTTTTATAGATGATGACAAGGAGGCCCAGGGCCTACAACAAGTCAGCAGCATCTCTGGAAGCAGAACCTCGAACTCCTGGCCCCCAGTCCAGGATCTTCCCACCACACCACACTCTCATGGATGAGGACTTCAGCTGGGTGAAGCTCAAGAGCTCCAGCTTTGCAGGCCAGCATGCAGGTTCAAATCCCAGCTCTACCTCTCAGAGGCAGGCAACAGTGGCAGGTGACTTTACCTCTCCACATCTTATCTCCCATTCACCTTATACTGAAGAGGAATGTGGTGAAGAGAATCAGGTAAACTTGGAGCACAGAGTGATTAATCAATGTCAGTTCAGATGGCTTACTTCCTGCCGCTTGATTGTGAATTTGTTGCGGACAGGAGTGAGGTCACATTCATCTCTATCTACAAGTGTCCTGACTGAGGGCCCAGAGCCGCTATGTGTCCAGTCAATGAGTGAATCAACGAATGAATGCAAGACAACTCTAAAGAGACAGGAAGCAGCGTGATAACCGCTATAGGAGGCCCCGGAGCAAGGGGCATTCAGGACCTCAGGGGGCTGTCCTGATCTCCCGTCCCACAGCCCCTCCCCTCACAGGTCAGTCCTGCCGCACCGTGGCCAATGGGCCACATGACTGTAGCTTGAGTGGTGGCTTTCAAAGTGTGCATGACCAAGTGGTGTTTGGGGAACTGATGAGCCAATGCTGATCACCAAGGAGATATTTTCCTTTAAAAATGTGTTCACATTGGAAGAGCAGTCCCTCTTCACACAAGCCCAAGCTGAGGGCCAGGTCTGGGTTTCCTATTTCTAAGAGACACAGTTATAGTCCTTAAGTGGTGACAACCCTAGGTGTGGGTACAGAGCTTTGTAAACGTTCTCCAACCTGCATTCATTCTCTGACTTGGCCTTGCAGCCACTCATTTTCACAGATGAGGAAACGGAGGGCCAAAGAAATCAACGGATTTGCTTAAGGTCACACAGTTGTAGCCAAGAGTCATAAAAACTCATGTTGGCAGGGACTTGGAGGTCACCCCCAACACACACACAGCACTGATGCTCTCATCCCCTCTACAGACCCGCCACGTCTTACTGTCAACTTTGTCCCCAGAAGAACACTGACTGTTAGATCTCATTTCAATCCAAAGATCAGTTTGGGACACAAAGCTAGGTCCCCTTGACTTTAATCTCTTGCTTTTTCTCTATGATCTGGAGTTTCCTCAAGCTTTCCTCAGGTTAAAGCTCCTCAAATGCCCAAATTTGCAAACCAACATGAAAACCTACCTCTGAGAAAGCTGGGGGCCAGCCCTTCCCACAACTCTGGCCTTTCTTTCTCTCCCCTGTAAGGTCTGCCAAGTCAAATCTTACAGCTCTATGCCACTTACTGGAGTGATCCATCTTTCAGGAGCCACTGTGGGCAGGGGCAGCGGTGGCCCATCAGGGGGAGGGCTGCCGGACTCTTCACCCCCAGCTGTGATGAGGGGCTCCTCTGTTGTGGCTGCTGCCAAGTCTTCTTCATCACCAGGACCCTGAAAACAAAACCAGCATTAAGGCACCACCTCACCTCGCTCATGAGGCTGCCAGGGAGTTGTAACAGTCGTTTCTGTGGTGCCAGCCCAGTTTCAAAGCACGTTCTTACCTACGATCATCGTTACCCCCAGCACACCCCTTCTGAAATATGCATCTCTTCTAAGCCTCAGTGCCAACTGTGGACCACTTGTCTCTGAGTAAATTCTTGGGCAAGGCTAGGAGGGAGCAGGGCTGTGGCCTCTGCTACACTCCAGCATTGTGTCCTGCCTCCCTCCAGCAGCTGCCCACCCAGACATGTGCTCATAACCAAGCTACAGGTGCCCCTGCCAAGGCCAAGGATGACTGTTGTCGCATGATGCAGACCTGTCTCTCCCCTGTGAGCCAGAGAGGACACAAGATGACACTTACAGAAGTGACTGCCCGCTCAGGGGCCATGGTGGCTGTGAGGGGAGCCAGGCCATCTGTGGGGACCCCACTGGCTTCCTCATCCTCAAAAGTACTGAGGGACACTTCGGTTGCAGCTGCAGCTGTTGTTAAACTGTCTTCACTGCTTGGACCCTGAAATGAAATTGGCATGAGGAGCTGTGCCCCTTCGCCCATGCCCCTGGTTCAGTGGGTGTGAGGCTGGGGGGTGGAAAGCGCTAAAGCCTCAGATAACTGGAGGCTCCATGATTCCCTTTCCTTTGCTCCTCCAGGACCACACCTTCGCCTGGAGCTCCAGCATTAGAACGTACCTTTCAGGGCATCCTCCCACCCACCCCAGAGTCCCTTCTAGCACATCTCTGCTAAGCACTTCTCTGGCCTTAGCTTTGTGAAAGGAAAATAAATCTCAGGATCCCCAAATCAATAAGCCAAAGGGAAAAAAAAATCAAGCTGGGAACTACTTAGGGCAAATCTGTCTCCCATTCTAGCCCTTAAAAAGATAGCTACTAAGATAAAAAAAAGCTACATACTTCCCTAATAATTTGTCCATAAGGAAATTCCTTGCAGACAAAGGACAGATGGAACTCAAAGTCACCCCTCTGCTCACGGAGATAAATGCATATCTGATTGCTTCCTTTGGAAAGGCTAATCAGAAACTCAAAAGAATGCAATCATTTGTCTTTTATCTACCTATGACATGGAAGCCCCCTCCCCACTTTGAGTTGTCCTGCATTTCTGGACAGCACAAATGTACACCTTATATATACTGATTGATGTCTCATGTCTCCCTAAAATGCATAAAACCAAGCTGTGCTCCAACCACCTTGGGCACATGTTGTCAGGATCTCCTGAGGCTGTGTCACGGGCATGTCTTTGACCTTTGCAAAATAAACTACCTAACTTTCCTGAGACCTGTCTCAGATATTTGGGGTTCACATTTTGGCAACCAAGAAGGGATTCTGAGTGGAGGTGCCACTGACCTTTGACAAATCTCATATCGGTGCTTGATACCAGCTTGAGCTTTCTTTATGGTTCAAACCAATAGGACAATTTGCTGAGGCCTAGGAGCCTCCCCTCCAGAGAATCCCTGATCTCCCAAAATTTGGTCAAGTTCTAAAGTTTATTTTGCTGTACAATTCTTTTTTTGCAGTCTTACTTGCTTCCAACAAGGAATGCAAGTTTTCCTGCTTCTAGGATGATGGAAGGCACCTAACTCCTTTCTGGAGTTTGAGCTCATTTCTAACAGGGAAGGCAAGTTTAAATTCTTTCCTGCTTCTAGGATGGTAGAGAGCAATCTTCTGCCTAAGACCTATCTCTAGTAAGTAGCTGAATTGGGGTTTTGTCTTAGCTGAAGTTAAGATTAACAACCAGCTGTTCCTAATTTCTCCTTACTATTAAAGTGCTCAGTAATCATGTTGTTAGGGTTTTTTTGGTTGTTGTTCTGATCTTTCTCCCATCAGATTTGACCAGCTCTACCTGACTTGGTCAAATCTGAATGAGAATTCTAAATTATGGGTAACAAGACCTCTCTGAATTGGCTAAAATTTCTCACAGCTGCAAGAGAGGGGAAAAAAAAACACAACATGCACGTTTGCTATCCTTGCTTCCTGTCTTAAAAACTTTTTTTCTTTCGTTTACTTTTCTTCCGCCCTATACCTCCTTCCCCCTTCACTATCTTTAGTACCAATAAAAACCTAGAGGAGGCTTCCAATGACTCAAACCCCTTAAAGTATTCAGAACAAAGGCACCACCCGCCCCTTTTTGGGGTGTTCCATTTTCTTTGTGGAGTTTCAAGAGTCATGAGCAGATTCTTCTTAGGTCTGAAGCTCTGCTCTCCTGTATTGTAAGACCTGACCTCTTTGGCTTTTGGGGGTACCAGAGATTACCTTATACCGGGAGAGGATTTGACCTTAGTGTGTATAATGGTGGATGAGAGTACAAAGTTAGAGGTGGCTGAGGACAATTTACAGGAAGTGGTCTTAGCTGTTTTTTTTTTTTTTTCTCCTAGGAAGTTATTGTTTAGGACCCTAATTCTAGTTCAGAGGTACATTCTAAAGGGTGTCTTCTCCATTGCCTTTCCTCCTGAAATTAATCTCAATTGGCTAGTGTGAGCATTTTGCATGAGGAATTGAACTATTGTTTTCACAGATAAATGGGAGAATGAGTTTCCTCAGCTTCAAAGAGAAAGGGCATTTTGCACCTCCCAGCTGAAAGGTGCCCCTGGGTGACTGGAGGGCAAGTGGGAGTGTCTTGGGGGGTTGACCCCCCCATGACATGCAGCAACCCTACAGGGAACCCCCAACAAAATTAGTTTAAAAAGCCTCATTCAGGAAGTGCATATAGGAGCTGGTCACCCTGCATTTTGATTTTGAGCCTCTTGGAGGTGCTAGAACTACACAGAGAGAAACTGAGACACGTAAGAGGGTGGAAATGGCTCAGTGGTGACACACTGTAGAGTCTCACCCGCAACCAGCACACTTTGACACACTCCACTAAAATGCTAGGCCACAGCTCAGTTCGTCCCTTAAAATAAAAAATAAATAAATAAAAAAGGCCGGGCACGGTGGTTCATGCCTGTAGTCTCAGCACTTTGGGAGGGATCATGAAGTCAGGAGTTCGAGACCAGCCTGGCCAACATGGTGAAAACCTGTCTCTACTAAAAATACAAAAAAACTAGCTGGGCATGGTGGCACGCACCTGTAGTCCCAGCTACTCAAGACGCTGAGGCAGGAGAATCACTTGAACCCAGGAGGTGGAGGTTGCAGTGAGCCGAGATTGTACCATTGCACTCCAGCCTGGGCAATAGAGGGAGACTCCGTCTCAAAAAAAAAAAAAAAAAAAAAAAAAAGGGTGGGAAACAAATAATCTAAGAATAAGGAAAAACAAGGAGAATGACCCTCTTTCAGGCACTCTGTTGGTTTTATGGTGCCTCTTCTTGCAAGTATTTTTGTAAAATGAACATATATGGTATTTTCATGCACAATTACAGCAAGAAAAATTCAGAGCCCAAAAGTCGATCTGCAACTATAAAGTTCCTAAGTTCTCTATCTCTCTGCTTTCTTCTCTGCCTCTGCCTGCTTTAAGTCTGCTGTTACATTTCTCCTGAGATAAAATCCACTGTTTGCATCCAGACATTTATTTTTGTTATTGTTTCTGCAGGACAATGTGTTTGTATTAATATTTCATGGCTAGAGTTCTGAAGTAAAAGCTATAGGATTTTTGGTTGTATGAGTATGTATGTGTGTGTTTATGTGTACATACACATTTTGTTGTGTTTTTCGCTACAAGGTATGACAATGGCTTAAAGAGTACTCATAAATTAAATGATAAACCCAAATGCTTTTCAAGTTCACACGACTTAAGTCTTTAATAAGCTAGTTTTAAAATTACTGGTAAAGCAATATTAGAAATGTCTTAAGAATTGCCAGCATACATTTTTGTTTGCATTTATTGATCAAGCAATTTCATACTTATCCCTGCCAAATACTATAAGGTGTCAAAATTTGGCACAAGGGTTACAAAACTATAAACTCAGCCCAAAACAGGATAACCTTTGCTTGTGTACTGTCTGATAAATAAGACAAGAACATTAGTTTAATGAAAATAGCTAAATCTTGATTTAGTAAAATAACCATATATTTAATCTTAAGGTTCTACTTAGATAAACACCTGAAATTCACAGGCTATAAAATGGTTGGCAGGGAAATAACTTTAAATAATGACTATTGCAGTTTTCATAAATACAGTAATCTAGGTACAGTATTAAAAATAATTAGGTAAATGTAATGGGATAAATACTTATAGACAAATGTGTCATAATTTAGAATCTAAAGTTAAATTAAATAATAGATATTTCATTAGTTGGGTATATTCCAATTAAAAAATATATTGTAAGAAAACATTCTTTCTAAAAAAAAGTGTGTTTTTTAAAAGGTGAATAATTTTTGTCTCATTCAAAGCTTATTTAAAGGTTATGTATAAAACAAAGTGAAGGGAATCAGGAAATGAGAGAGATGTAAAGAAAGTTATAGAAATAAAGAGGTAATTTTGGTAAGAAAGCTTAAAGAAAAATAATTTTATACAAGAAAGAATCTTTTATGGTAAATTTTGTCCTAGAATAAAATGACTTTTTTTTTTTTTTTTTTCAGAAAGAGGGATGCTCAGGAAAACTAGAAAGTCCAAGCATGTCAGAAATGGTCTGTTTACATCATAAGAAGAAGACAGATGAAAAAAAAAGCTTTCATATGAGCAAGTTGTCTACAATTAAAGGGAAATTATTTAAAATGGTCTTTCCAGAGATTGGGTTTTGATTTTTAAAAAACCACTTATACACTAAAGAATTGGTTTGAACTACAAAATTTTCTTAAGGTATTGCTTTACTCTTAATAAATTACAAGGCATTATAATTTTTTTACACAAAGTTCGACTTTTATTGCATCTTGCTCTTTTCTGTTTTCTCTCGCCTTTTAAAAGGCCTGAAATAATAACTAATCTTCAACTCATTTTCAGCTCCTGTAAGATTTTTTTTCCTCTGGTTATAAATGTTGTGGCCTGATGCTAAAAAAATGTTTTATCTTAAAGATCTAAAAGGAGTATTTTCTTCCAATATAATATTCCCCATAGAGAACAGCAGTCGCACTGCAGAAGGTCTTTTCTTTTGCCTTTGGGTAACTGGCCTAATAAACAGATCTTACACTTTATCTAAATAATTCCTATGTCATTATTACTAAGTTTTCGTTTGCTTAGAAAAGATGCAGATTAACAAAAAGAATATTTTTTTTAATTAAGGTTATTACGTCCATATAACTTTCTGTGAAGGGAGCCGAAGGCCCATGGGACGTGACCAACTCAGCATTCCACTGGAGGCTATATGATCGAACAGCAAACTGTTTATCATGAATGCAGGATGTGAGCAAACTCACAAGTGTTCCCGCCGACAGAAGGTTTGCTGGAGGCAATCACTCCCGGGTGCCGAGGTTATCTACTGCAACATCTAGAGCCTGTTGTTTGAGGAATGCAGTCTTGCAAGCCTACTCTGGACTAAGCAGCTGACCCCTTCTTCCACTCCCCTTCTCACTGTCTCTTTTGCCTAATAAATATGGAGGGCTGTGTAAAGCTCAGGGCCCTTGTCCACAAGAGGCAAGTTTCCCCTGACCCCTTCTTCCAAATATACTCTTTTGTCTCTTGTCTTTTATTCCCACATTTGCCCCCATTTGTTCAGTCCACCAGGGATCATGGCAGGTTACATAGTGGTGCCCAGAACAGTGACAGAATCAGGTGCTCTACATTTCTGTATGTGCTTTTAAAGTACTTGTGCCATTAAGTTACAGGGCTTTGATTCCTGGGTCTAAGAAGGACACCAAGTCCTGCTAAATCTTAAACACTGACAGCAGTTAAAGCCTCACCTACAGATCCTGTAGAAGATGTCAACCAAAATAAACTGCGTTCGTGAGACATAGCGCCAAAAATTAAAGCTATTCAACTCCTCAAGGTCCAAAGACTACTGCAGAAGAGGTGGGCACATGAGATTATAAGGGCAGATTTTGAGAGATAAAATAAGTTTAGTTTCTCTATAAATTAACCATTAATGTCAAAGGCATGCTGATGCAAGACCAGCATATTGGCCCCTGTGTCAGATTAACAAGGTTTTCTTGGAGCATTAACCCACTCCTTAATAAAGGTTATAAAGGTTATAAAAAGGCTTATGGAAATTATATCTTATGGTCAAGATGATTAAAATTTTATAGATTGTTTAAAAATTTTTGAAAAACAAATTTAATTGGCCTCCTGTTGTTTTTATTAGGGCTAATTGTTTGAGAAATCAATCTCTTCAATCAAAGAATAAATATTTTTGCCTTTTTTTTTAACTCTTTGAGGTATCACTTTGGCTAAATGAATGACTTATTTTACAATGACCTGTGATCCTATTTTGTGATATCAAGTGTTTTATACTTTTTATATTTGACAAAATTTCCAAAGTCAAATTCTAACTTAGGTCCCATTAATTTTTTGATTTTCAGAACCAAGAAAGCTTTTCTTCTGAGCTATTATTCCCCTGAAGTCCAAAAGAGACATATTTGGCTTATTCGATATAATAAAATCATACAGGAAGTATTTTCAAATATGAAACAGTGTTTAACCTTCTTTGGATTATATTTACATAAATGTGTTATTAGTATGTGCTCAGAGTTGTATGAAATTCCTGTGATTCTGATATGTTTTAGCATATTTTATCAGTAGTAATTATTATGTAAAATTGCTGTATGCCACAGAAGTAACCAAGTTTCCTTGTCAATTGTGTCTTTAACTATGACTGTTTCAACACTTTTGTCATCCACAGTTGTTTTGCTTTTATCCCTTTCAAAAGGTGGTTTTATAATCGGCATAGGACTCTGATAGGTGCTCTTCAATGCAAGTTTTGAAGATTGTAATGTTAGAATAGAGAAAAAACTTCCAAGGCTCCCATGAAGAGCTGAAATGTTCATGAATAACATGCAGAACAGGAGTTAACTGTGGACTTTTAGAAGACTGAAAATCCTTTTATAACTTTTTGCTTAAAACATTGCTGATCCTTTTTTTGTTTGTTTATCGGAGCCAAGAAAACTTTTCTTTTGAGCTATTTACAGCTTTTAACAATTGAGTAGCCAGGCGCAGTGGCTCATGCCTGTAATCCCAGCACTTTGGGAGGCTGAGGCAGGTGGATCATCTGAGGTCAGGAGTTTGAGACCAGCCTGACCAACATGGTGAAACCCCATCTCTGCTAAAAATACAAAAATTAGCCAGGGGTGGTGGCACATGCCTGTAATCCCAGCTACTTGGGAGGCTGAGCCATGAGAATCACTTGAATCCAGGAGGCAGAGGTTGCAGTGAGCCAAGATCATGCCACTGCATTCCAGCCTGGGAGACAAGAGAGAAACTCAGCCTCAAAAAAAAATGAGTAAAATATACTCATATAAACAAAATTTGGAGCATATTTCTACCTGATCTCTCCAAAAATTTGGTAATTAGTTGTGAGTATTCTTAACTTACAATATAGTTATTTGTGTAAGTGTGATAACAATCTGTTTTCTTTTGTAACAGAGCACAGCTGGAGACACTGGTTATTTTACCATGGTTTTGACTGGAATGGCATGCTATCAGATACAGACTCCTTTAAGGAACCAAAGTTGATTTATAGAGCCAATAAAAGCCCTTGGGAAAGCTGGCCTCATACCTTGTCTACACAATCTCTGTACAGGTTCCTGACCTGTGGTAAGTAAAGAATGTCACTTTCTGACAGGTCCAGGAGCCCCAAGTTTTCTTGAGACCTCAAGGTGAGGCCTTCACCCAATTAATACAGGTATTTGCAGGCATGGGCTGTCCTTAAGGCCTTAAAGTCAAATCTGAGATTCTTTATGGAATAAAGCTCCAGCAAAGTCAATTAAAAAAAAAGAGGAGCCTATATGGCAAATAACTATTTTTGCTGACTTTATGCAAATACTCAGGCCAAGTATAATAAGACTAAAACTTAATTTGCAAATGAAATTGTCCTATGATTTTTCTTTAGTGAAAATGGGACTGGAAAGAGAAAACTTATGTTTTAAAATAAACTATAGAACACCTGTTGTTAGATTTTGGTCTTGCCTAATGTTTTTCAATTTTTATTATTTTCTACAGTTTGGACTGAATTCTAAAATTTGTACTGGCTACAAGTCTCCATAATAATGTTTTCAAATTTTTTTCTTCTTCTTCTTTTCCATTTTTTCCCCATTTTTGAAATCACTAAAATTAAGCCATGCTTTCTTAAAGCCCTGCAAACTGAAGCTAGACAACTTAAACTTCAGAGGAAAATAACAGCAACCTATTTACATAATAAGCCACTTTCATACCTGCCTACTGATGTATGGACTTCAGAGTAATATGACCTATATCAATTTTCCAGGATTGTTCTTCTTTTTTTATTTGTTGTTTTTCTCCCTCCCGCTATTTTCTCTTGTAGGGCATGAGACTTCACAGCCTGATAAAAGTGAACTTTCCTAATAACATGGGACCTACCTGTCTAGGAATAAACCCTCCTAGCCATGAGAAATCAACTAAACCTGAAACTAGAGACTCATTTTCTTTAAAATGCTTTATCTGAAAGATTTTAAAAAGGGGGAAATGTGAAAGGAAAATAAATCTCAGGACCCCCAAAATCACTAAGCCAAAGGGAAAAATGAAAATGGAAATTGCTTAGGGCAAAACGGCCTCCCATGCTATTCCTTTAAAAGGTATCTACTAAGATAAGAAAGGTACATACCTCCCTCACAATTTGTCCTTAAGGAAATTCCTTACAGACAAAGGACAGACAGAACTCAAAGTCATCCCTCTGCTCACTGAGATAAATGCATATCTGATTGCTTCCTTTGGAAAGGCTAATCAGAAACTTGAAAGAATGCAAGCGTTTGTCTCTTATCTACCTATGACATGGAAGCCCCCTCCCTACTTTGAGTTGTCCTGCTTTTCTGGACTGAACCAATGTACACCTTACATATATTGATTGATGTCTCATGTCTCCCTAAAATGCACAAAACCAAGCTGTGCCCCAACCACCTTGGGCACATGTTGTCAGGACCTCCTGAGGCTGTGTCACAGGTGCATCCTTAACCCTGGCAAAATAAACTTCCAAAATTGACTGAGACTTGTTTCAAATACTCTTTGCTTTACAGCTGATACACCTCCAGTAACTAGGACCTCACCACCTCTACAGATAGCCCTTCTATCTTCAGACAACCCTGCTGGTCAAATTCTAGTTTCTATTAAGCTAGGACTTGGTAGAACCTGATCCCTGGCTTTCCCACTCTGTCGTAAGTGCCTAGACATTAAAGAAAGGGGAAGACAGGGAAAGGGAGGGGAGGTGGAGAAGAAGAGGAGGAGAAAGGAAAGGGCAACTGGAAGAGGAAGAAGAAGGAGAAGGAGACAGCCACTTTGTTCACTGAAAGAATCCATATAACTGCCCAGTGGCCTGTGGCACCATCAGTGCATGTCCCCCACCTCCACCCCCAGCCACACTGCAAGGTCTCCCAGCATGGATGCTAAAAGGCTGAAGGCTGCCTGACCAGCACAGACAGACCAGGGGCACAAGTGTGTGCAATGACATCAAAGGCCGGCGTTGTTGATCTGTGATGTCCTGATGACCCCAGCCATTCACTCACTCAGCAGATACTCATTCAGTGCCTATCATTGGTCAGGAATGAAGTATGTCAATGAACAAAATATTGTATCAGTAATCTCTGTTCTAGCAGAGCTTACATTCTGGTAGGGAGCCAGACATGAACTATTTGCCAAGTTCATTATCAACTACAATGATGATGAGGCCTTTTGAGGACAAGAATGGGGAGAGTTCACAGTCTGGAATGACATCTTCTTGAGGAAGTGGTGTTTGAGCTGAATTCTAAAGGATAAGCTAGAATTAAAAGGAGGAGAGAAGGGAGAAAGGTTCTCAGCAGAGAGAAGAGGGTATGAGGCATGATGAGGGAAGAGGTATGAGGAAGAGAGGCATGATGGAGAAACTAGAAAAAGGTCAGTGTGGCTGAAGTGCTGCTGAGAGGCAGAGAGGACGGGCCCAAGAGGTGGTCAGCAAGGCTAGGTAGGCCAGACCCTGCAAGGGCTCTCAGGCCAGGTATGGGAGCTGGGTCTGCAGGGAAGGGCGATGGGAAGCTTCCAAGAAGTGGGGCTGAAAGACTGGAGACAAGCTGTGAGAGGATGGAGGAGGCCAGACAGGGCTCTTAGCAATTGCCCGGGCTGGGGACACGGCAGGCTCAGCACAGGGGCCAGCATTGGAGGAGGACAGAGCCGGCGATTCATGATGTGTTTGGGCAGAAAAATCAACAAGACTTGATGCTTGATGGGATATAGAACTTAAGGAAGAGAGAAGAAAATTCTGGATTAGGTGACTGGAGGATGATGGTCCCATTCATTTGAGGTGGGAACATAGGAGGAGTGGAAAGGAGGAGTTCAGGTTTGAATCAGCTGAGCTGGAAGAACTTGAGGGCACCCATAGTAGAGACAGCACAGGGACAGACTGGCCAAGTGCCTTGGGATGATGTGCCCTGCCTTCAGGAGCTGGACAGTGTCTGTGCGCTGCACGAGGAGAGGGCTAGGAAGGCCTGGCCGTGCCCTCTGACCCTTGCTGGGGCCTGCCGCCTGCTGCCTGATCCCCCATCGCCCTCCAGGAGCCCGCCACTCCTCCATTCTGGCTCCCACCCCCTGTGGGTGGAGGCAGCAGGGTCCTGCATGCAGCCTTGGGACAAACCCCACCTCTGCAACTCACCCATCCCCAGGGCCCAGCTGCTCACTGACCTCCAGGGGCTTCACCACACTCACCCAGGCCTTGGCAAACTCCACCCCCAAGTGAGTATTTGGTCAGAGATCCCCGTGCCTCAGGCTCCCATGGGTTTGCTGAGCAGGAGCCCCACACTCTGAGAAGGTCAGGAGCTGCTCCCACCATGACCTCAACCTTTGGGCACTGTACGATCCTTACCACAGTGGCCTCTTCCCCGAGGCTCTGGGCGGACATGGAGAGGTCCAGCTCCCCGGGGGCCACACCACTGGCCTCCACTTCCCCAGGCATGCTGGCGAGTGCCTCGGCCTCCCCTGCTGCTGTTGCTGCTAAACGCTCTTCATTATCTGGACCCTGAATAGAAAGTCAACAGGAACCGCGTCAGTGCCCCATGATGCTGATCCACCACACTGTGGTAAGGAACAGAAGGCCAGGGCCCCTCAAAGCACCTGCACACCAAGACCTCACTTCACATGGAAACCCACAGTGAGACATCAGACAGAAATATGGAAGCCTGGTTCCTCACACCACTCATGCTGCGAGACCACCCCAGCATCCCACCCGTGTGGTGTGCCACCAGCCACTCCCTGCCAACCCCGAGGGGCATGTGCTCACCAATAGCCCTTCCAAGCTGTGTCCCCTAATCAGAGAGTGCAGCTTCTACTGGTGCTTAAGTCACTGTGTTGAAACAAAAGTCTAGGTCCTCAGACTCCACAGCTTTCTTGTTGAAGCAGTAGTCTACCCTCGTGGACCACTCCCTGTCCCACTCTCTTCCTAGCCCAGTGCCATCTGGCTTCCACCGCTCCGATAGCCCTGAAGCTGCTCTCCCCAAGGCCACTCACCGTGAATGGACAAATTCAATGGATGTTTCTCAGCCCCTTGCTCACTGGGACTTCTGGGAGGATCTGACATTGTTGGCCACATCCCAGGGCAGGCTGGCACCACCACTCACCCAAACTCCAACACAGCCCCCAAGCCCGGCCTCTTTCTCCAAGTTTGCTTCCCCACCCTTTCTCCTCTCAGTAGTCAGAGTGATCTTTCTGGAATTCTAATCTGGCTACATCCATTCCTTGTTTCTTACCCTTCAGTGACTCCCCACTTCTGCTGAATCTTCTCTGTGTCCTTAGAGCCTCTCCAGCCATTTCTCCCCGACCCCTGGCTCACGCTTGACCCCACAGGTATGCTGCCCTTCTTCAGGCTTCAGGCCTTTGCTCCTGCCAGCCCACCTTGCTGAAACACCTGTTCCACCCCCTCTGCTAGGCGACTTCTACTTACCCTCTCAGGCCCGCCTTCAGCATCCTTTCCCCAGGAAACTTCTGTGCCCCCGAGTCTGGGCTCTGGGCCCCTTTTTCAGTGCTCCCAGGGCATCCTGTGCTTCACCTACCACTGACCACAGCCCCTCTTACCACCCTGTCTTCAGGAATCACGTCTATCCTATTTACTATCCATCCCTGAAACCAGGCCTAGTGCCCAGCACAGTGTAGGGCTCTGCACACCGCCACTGAATGGGTCAATGCTATTTAGTGCTTACTCCGACAGACTGCCCCCATGAGACTGTCACTGTGTTTCACAGACACATAGGGAAAGCCAGTGACTGCTCCCACCCAACACAACCCACAACCCCAGACACAGGTGAAGGGGAGCTTGCGCTCTGAGCTACTTACTGGAGTGACCCCTTCCTCTGGGTTCTCCGTGGACATAGAGAGGGTTGGTCCCCCGGTGGGCACACTGCTGGCCTCTGCTTCTCCAGCAGTGCTGATGGGCACCTCGGCCAGCCCCGCTGCTGTTGCTGCTAAATTCTGAAAACAAAGGCATCACAAGAGACCATGTCTCTGGGCTCCCATCAACATGCCTGTGGCTGGTGAGAACAGACTGCCTAGCCTTCTCCAGCCACCTGCATTTCTGTAGCTTCTTTCTCTCAAGGACTTTCACATCTATGGTTTCATAAATCCAGGGATGGGAAAGACTGCCCAGGCACCTATGTCTGGTGTTTGATTCCCAGTATTGGTTTGCACCTCCATTAACACGGAAATCACTGCTCCTGAGTCAGCCTGGTCTAGCTCTAGATACTTCTACTGAAACCCATTGCCTCCCTGTGACCTCCCCATGTACCCATCCAGAAGGCATTAGACAATGTCTTTGCCCATGAAGATGCTTCAGAAATGTGTAGGCAGCACCTCTGTCCTCCTCAGCCTTCTCTAGGCTGGGAGACAGAGACATTCCTGCTTCTTCTCTCTCCCTGTGACTCAGTTTCCTTTGGGAATGCACAGGCAGATTCTCTGAAGGTTTCATAGCAATGGGAGAAATGGAAAGAGAGAGCAGCTTTGGGGCTGGTGACAGCAAACTATGTTCTATCTTCATTTCCCAAAGCTTGTTTATTTATTGCAAAAATGTGGTTCTTTTGGTTACAAAAAACACCAGGCTAATCAAAGTTAAAAAGATTTCCTTGCTGCAGGATTTCTCAGAATCTATAAAAAGAGGAATGTAGAGTGCAGCATTTCCCAAAGTCATTTGACCACAGAGCCCCTTTTTCATAAAATATATTAAATCCTTGCAGAATTACTGTCTCAAAAAACAGTTAGAGGAAAGTTGAGGTCCCAGGATGTTAAAATGAGACTCTTTCTAACTCAGCGTCAGCTAAAGCCCCAAAGGGCAAGTGCAATTTCACAGGCATCAGGTAATCTCCCCATGCTAAAACAAGGAAATGGCACCCGTTCTACCAGCTCCTGCCCATCTCCTACCTCTAGGCTGTGTAAGAAACCATACAGGACTCATTTTGGGGTTGAGTGCCTGGAGAGCAAGAATTCCTTTGGAAAGAATTTTCAGTGTACTGCGGTTCTTCTCCTCCCCTCTACTCACTCCAAACCATTTGGTGAGCTGGGTATGTATTTCCTGGAATTTGGGAGGCTCAGGGACTGGTGTCTGATTTTCTCCAGGGAGACAAAAGGTGAAAGGAGGGAGCCCTTTAGATTCAGAGTTGGGAGAGAGGGACAAAGGAAGAGAGGGGAAGGGGAGAGGAGAGGAGGGGGAGGTGAGGGAGAAAGAGAAAAGGAGGGAAGTGGGAAGAGGAGGGGAGGGGAGAAAAGGGGAGAGGAGAGGAGAGGAGAGGAAGGGAGGGAATAAAAGGAGAGAGGAGGGAAGGAGGAGGTGAGAGGGAAAGGGGAGAGGAGGGGAGGGGGATGGAGAAGGGAGGGGTATTTGTCCTGCAGTTGTTTTGCTGGAGATAGACAAGATAAAATCTCTCCAAAGGGAGCTGGCTGAAATGGGCTGTACTCAAAGAGCCACGCAGAAGATCTGGGCAACCTGTATGGGGTGGAAGCCCGGGCAGAAGTTACAAGGCAAACTATGGAATTTTGATCCTAGGTCCCCTGCAGGAAGACCTCCCAGGAACCACAAAAGCCCCCATAAGAGAGAGTTCCAACAATCAGGCATCTTCCACACCAAAAGCCCAGATCACAATTTGACCAGCCAAGTACAACTGTGTCCATTTCTCCAGGTGGGCCAGCCCCTGCAGATGTTAAAAATAGCTCTAGAGGATGGGGAGATCATGAGGATAAGGAGGAGAGAGAAGTAAGAAAATAGAGAGGAAACCCCTAACCATGCTTCCCTTTCCTGGCAGTTTCCTAGTCTACAGTAGGCCTGAGTATAGAAGGGGGGAAACTGTGTTTGTAATTTTGTTGAATTTTTGATATTATGCTGGGCTTGACTTTTAAATATCTGTGAAAATTGACTGTTACCAGATAGTGACTGAGAGAGCTGTGAGAACTGTCTTAAGTTTTCATCCCAGGAGAAGGGAAGGAATGAGCTGGCGTTGTGGGTTTTCAGCAGGGGCCATTGTGAGAAAACTATTTATGCTTTAATTTTGCACCCTAGGGAGCCCAGCATTTCAAAAACTGGCTTTGCAGGTGTAAAAGCCAATTACCAAACAATAGCATGAACACACCTGCAGTTAATCTGATTCTGTCTTGAAGGGGACTCAAAGGGCTGATAAAGCTATGTGCCTTCACAACTGAGCAGGAGGGCGGGGTTGCATTGGTGAGGCCTGGACGCTCGCTCATCACAGGCAAGTGTGAGGACAAGCTTGCACTGCATATCCCCCACCAGTCCTGTGCATCCCTGGAGAGCCTCTGTGGCCCTGGGACTCTGACCTCCTCTGTACCATGAGGACAGAAGCAATCTTGATGCTATTCAACCAAAACCCTTGTGGTTCTCTCTGGTGCTCAGTAAAATCATCACCAAGTTTGAAATAAGCAAACAAGCCTACTACTGACTAATCAAATGAAATTTACCATCTACTCACCTTTTCTTCAGCAATGTCAAGGAAGGCCCCAGCCCCTGAGCCGCTGTCAGTAATGGGGTCACCATCCACAGAATGAACCCCCTCCAGTGTGTCATTCAGGATCTCACCAGACCCTACAGGAAGCAGGCATTCTGCTATCAATAACTACATTTTGCAGTCTTGGAAAAGAATGAGGTATCTCTTCACCAGCTAACTTGGAAAGATGTTCAGATACCATGACACAGGGTCAAGAGGGGGAAAAAACAAGTTGCAGAACAACATACATGGCAAAGCATGTGTGGTTTCCATTCCAGGCTCTGGCACCACCTGCAGGCAAGTCGCTCAACTTCTGCCTCAAGTTCCTTATCTAGAAATGGGGAATTACAATAATTCCTACCTCATAGGGTTGTTTTGAGTACTGTGTGTCACAAGGACTAAGTAAGTTAATGCAAATAAAGCATTGAGGACAGCCCCTGGCATATAGTAAGCAATTGATAAATGTTCATTGTTGATATGGTTTTACGTGTGTAAAATAGAAAAAAAAAGTATGAGTATAGATATCGTATCATTATTATATATATAACATATTCATGTTATGTAATAATGATTATGACATACATAATATATACATATATGTATATGTATATGTATATGTATGTGCTTATATATTTATATACTTGGCTAAACCACAGTGTTTAGTACTGATATTTTCCAGAAGATAGGAGTGTAAGAAGAGGAAACTATTATTTTTCTGGTTTATACAACTGAGCATTAATTTAATTGTTCCCACATGCATATATTTCTTTTGCAATTTAAAAAGCAGCCCGGAATCCCAGCACTTTGGGAGGCCGAGGTGGGCAGATCACTTGAGGTCAGGAGTTCAAGACCAGCCTGGCCAACATGGTGAAACCCCATCTCTACTAAAAATACAAAAATTAGCCAGGTGTGATTCCACATGCCTGTAACCCCAGCTACTTGGGAGGCCAAGGCAGGAGAATCACTTGAACCCAGGAGGCAGAGGTTGCAGTGGGCAGAGGTTGTAGTAAGCTGAGATTGTGCCACTGCACTCCAGCCTGGGTGACAGAGTGAGATTCCATCTCAAAAAAAAAAAAAAACGCAAATGGATTTTTGAAGCAAAGAAAACTTATTCATTGGCCGGGCATGGTGGCTCATGCCTGTAATCCCAGTATTTTGGGAGGCCAAGGCAGGAGGATCATTTGAGCTCAGGAGTTCATGACCAGTCTTGGCAACATAGCGAGACCCCATCTCTACTAAAAATAAAAAAAAATAGCCAGGCATTGTGGCATGTGGCTGTAGACCCAGCTGCTCAGGAGCCTAAGGAGGGAGCTCATGCCTGGGAGGTCAAGGCTGCAGTGAGCCATGATTGTGCCACTGTGCTCCAGCCTGGGTGACAGAGCAAGACCCTGTCTAAAAAAAAAAAAAAAGAAGAAGAAGAAGAAGAAAAAGAAGTTGTACTACCATGACTGCACGCCTGTTATGGCTGGGCCCATGCCAAGATTGTCCCATGCACTCCCTCCAGCAACCCTCCTGCTGGCCCACCTGTCCTGCCCACCGGGACCCCTCCCACCACCTTCCTGCAGGTGGGCAGATCCTGGTTGGGGATCCCACTATCACCCCATGACAGGTGTGACCTGCCGGATCCACACATCAATACCTCAGTATTATTAACCCTGGGAATGAGACTGAGACTGGGAAGGGCCCTGAAGCCAGGTCAGCCTGTCCCCGGGCCAGGCCCTTCCCACACACGCTGTGCTCACGCAGGTCCCATGGTCACAATAACTCTGGAAGAGGTGCCAAATCCTCCAAAGGACTCTGCCCCCCTCCCCACCCACTCCTGTCCCATCCTGTGATGGAAGAGTGGCCAGCACGGGTCGAGCACTCTCGTCTTCCCTGCTCTGACCACCAGGGGGTGCCGTGCAAGCAGCCGATTGCCTGTCCTCCAAGGACTGACCCCTGGGAAGAAGGAGGTGGGGTGGCCCCTTCCACGGGTCACGATGGTGTCAGGGAAGCTCTGAATGCAAATATTAGGGGCTTTGCTTAGCCAGGGCTTTCTCCCACCATCCGGGCTGTCTACACATCAAGAAGAAAAGGACACTTTGGCTAGCTCCATTGCTTTCAACTGACCTTTTGTCTGCTAGATAAGGAGTGTGGCTGATCCCGGGAACAGGCGAGCTGCGTTGGGATCAGAGCCCAGTCCCCACGTGGACCTCATCTTCTCAGTCTAGGAAAGCCCTCGCCCCAGCCCCTTCACCTTAACCCCTTGCTGAGAGATCCTAATTCCACCCCTGAGAAAAGCATTCGCAATTCAGAAGCCACTTCCACAACTGCGGCCAGATTCAGCCCTCTCATCCACCCAGCATCGGGGATTGTTCATGCTCCCAGAGGACGGCTAAGGAATCTGAAGCTTGGAAACTGATCAGCAACTTGCCCCAGGCCGACAGCAAATAGGGGGCTAGGCAGGGCCTCCTTCCAAGCTGTCTGACTCTCCCCAGCGGGCAGTATTTCCACAGCAACACCCTGCCTCCTTGGCTCTGTCATGACGTTATTAAATTATCCTACAATTTTTTCTCTCCAGTTCTCTATACTTTCTCTGACCCACAGACTCCCCAAATTTAGTTGTTAAAATAACACTCATTAACTGATGGCAGAAGCAAAAAGAATAGTGATATGTATTATTGTAGAAGACTTGTATTAATAAAATACGGAAGTACAATAAAAAAAGTAAAAACCATCCATAATCCTACCACTCAGAGATAACTGCTTATAACATTTTGATGAATATTACGTCTAATATGTGATGTATCTAATACACACACATCGCTCTACATAGCTATATGTAAATAGATATAAATAACATATATTCAAAATTAGGGTCATAGACATAATTTTGGAATTTGCTTTTTTGGTGGAATATACCACGAGCATGTCCCTGGGTCATTAAATCTTCTGTATCACCAGTGTCAGGGCTGTATGTATGAATGAAATAGAATTTGGCCGACCAATCCCTACTGTGGGCAGTTTGGGTTATTTTTGTTCCTAAGAACAGTGCTGCCAGGAATGATCTTGTACTTACATCTTCAGTCTGAAGTGACGGCCCCTCTGAGAAATGACAGAAACCACAAGCGATCTCAGGGCTTGGGCATATGCCAAGCTAGTGCCTGGGGGATAGTGTTTGACGCCTGGGCTTTTACCAGTGCTCCTCTGCACAGGTAGGGGGACAAGAGGCAGGGGCCAGAGCCCTGGATGGGCAGCCAGGGGACCAGCTCTTCTCCTAGGGACTGCTGCTGCCTTGCTGGGTAACTGGCCCCTCTCTGGCCATCAGTTTCTCACTTGTGCCACACAGGAGTTTAGCTGATCCTCTGAGAGTTGGGGAGTTTGTGGCAAAAGTCAGAATGGGTGGGGACTCTGGACTTAGCTCTTCCAAGTGTTGGTTTTTCCACCTATAAAATAGTGGCTAGTGCTACTGAGTAGGCGGTATGCTGTCGGTGTTGGAGACAAAATATCCAAACACTTGGCACACTGTAGGTATTCAACAAAGAGCAAGGATTATTACAAACTTTTCTGTTAAACCCCAGAAGGAATAGAATCTGGGAGTTAGAAGCTCCAGATCTGGGGGTTAGAAGATCTGCTATCTGAGCTCAAATGCCAGCTCTGCCATTCACAAGCTGTTTGCTCCTGGCTGGGTTACTTAACTTCTCTGTGGCTCAATTTCCTCCTCTTGTCTGTAAAATGAGGGTGGTTCTCACCCTTTCTTAAAGGGTTGAGGGGAAGGTTAAATGAGATTCTGTATGTTACATACATGGCCCCGGCTGGACACATAGTAATCACCCAATAAAAGGCCACTACGTAGGCATGTGCATCCGGACTTGCCTTGTTTGGGGCTGCTGTGCTGGATGATGCTCATGTTGGTGGTTTCCAGGGTCCCCTCGGGTACAGGTTCACCAGAAAGTTCCATGTCTTCAAAGGGGGAGGATGGAGTTGGAGGTGTGTTTATGGGTTCAACTTTTGCTTCTTTGGGCTGAAGGGAGGAAAAATGAGATGCAAAATGATTTACTTGGCAGTAAAGCAGAAGAAATGACAGAGAATATCACTGAAGAAAATAATATATCCACAAGATGCTGAATAAACCAAGGGGAAAGCTTGGCCCCACTTGGTGTCTACCTGGGCAATGGCTGCACCTCCCAGGGCCTGAAAGAGGTGCCTACTAGAGGTCATTAGATTCTGTTCACTTGACAGTGAGACTATTCATCTCAGCCAAAGCTCTCTGAGCACAGGGACCACATTTCTGTGATTCCCAAATCCCAGGTCAGCCAGAGGAGGTGCCCAGTAAAGATCTGTTAGAGGAGGGAATGATTGAATGAATTAGTGAACAAATGAATGAACCAGGCTGCACTCAATAAACTGCATATAAATTCAATGCCAGATATGAAAACACCTATGAAAATGAAAGACGGGTGTGGTTCCTTCCGAGGAAACTTCAGCATCTATATAGCTTTTCCAAAGCCAGTCAGTGTCTTAACCAACATTACCAACTAGAGAAAAGCAAACAAACAAAACCCCAACAGAAACACAGAGTGCTTCAGTGATCTACGCAGAAATCCTAGCATGGGCTCCAAAAGTCACAGCATCACCCCTGGACCCAAGCAGCAGCTCGCGGGACCCAGCGCTTGTCAGCATTCAGATAGCCTCATCACTTTCTAAGCTAAAGGGGCTGGGGGTGCATGGAAGAATCCTGTGAATCAGTGTTGAACTCGTGGTATGAACAAGAAACCAATCTTTGTTTTGTAAGGCACTAAGATTTTTGAGGTTAATTTGTTACTGCAGCATCACTTACCTTTCCTGACTAATAACAGAAGGTTATTTCCTTAATTCAGAATCTAGTAAATCAAAAAATTTCTGGTCCATGGAACAAGGAGGATTCTTGGAAGCCCCATCATTTAGAATTTAATAGTTCATTTCTTACAGTCAGACCTGGATCAAATCCCAGCTCTCCACTTATAAGCTTAGTTATGTTGGGCAAGTCATGGAGCTTCACTGAACCTCAGCTTCCTCCTCTGTAAAAATGAGGACAATAAAGAACTACTTGAAGGCAGGAAATAGAAAATGCATGGAAGGGCTAAGCACACCTTTATATTTAGTACATAAATATTCCATATTTGTTATTGAAAACACTGTAAGTACAGATGAGCAAAAAGAGAAATCACCTTGAGTCCTAACACCCAGAGACAATCACCATGGATTCTATTGTACTGTAAAATCTTCAGGGTGGAGGTGGGAGGAAAGGCTTTAAGGAGTTGGGCCTTGGAGAATGAGCAGGGTTTCAGAACACAGGGGTGGAGGGTTGATGAAAGTCAGGGCCTGGCAACTTGAGCTTGGCAAGAGCCCAGGGCTTGAGGAGGGAAGCAGTGGAACAGAGCCCAGGGAGGCAGGCAGAGGGAGGAGCTGGTTCTGTGGGGAGAAGAATGGGCTTGAACCCAAGGGCCACAGGCAGCCACTGGGGAGCATCGGGAGAGGGAGTGGTGGGGGCAGCTGTGTGTTTTAGAGAGTCCTCGCTGGTGGCAGTGTGATCATGGACTAGGGGAGCTGAGGCTTACGCCAGGTGACTGGGGGGTGGCAGTAAAGAAGTCCACAAGACAGGAACCAGGGCAGCAGTGGGAGCAGACAGCAGGCACCTCCCCAGGGGAGGTTGTGAACAAGACCAGGTGGGATGTCTCCATTTCACCCAGATGGATGTTCATCTAGCAGGGAAGATAAAGACCCCTGCCCAGGAGGTTCCTCTCCTCTCCCTGTGAGGGATCAAGGCAGAAGCCACTCCATCACTTGTTCAGGAACCAATGCTCAAGCCCCTGAATGCTCATCTCTAGTCTGGAGTGAGGCTGCTGGTGGCTGGTAGCAAAGGTGCTCTATAAGGCATTTGGACTTTGGGATGAGGCGGGCAGGGCAGGTGAGGGTTCAGGAAACATAGGAAGACAACGAGATGGGGGCTGAGCTCTGTAACTCAGGGTGGCTGAAGTTGTCAAACTCCCAACAAGGCATCCCAACCCCCCTGCAAGGACAGGGCATGGTTCTGGTGAATTGACCCTCAGGAGTGAGGGTAAGGGGACCTGCCTCAAATAGGTGGCTTTGGTTTTCAGAGGTCAATGTGAATGGGGATCCAGTGTGGCCTGTGACAAAATAGGAACCTCAAGTCTGAAGACTTGCTATTAAAAGTGTTGCAATTTGCTGAGTCCAGGCTCACGTCCACACAATCAGATTTACTCATTCTGCACATATTTCCAGAGGCCCTACCGTGTGCTAGGTCCTTGGCTGAGCCCTGGGGACACAGAAATGAATAACTAAGACAGCGTGTCTGTCCTCAAGCTGTCAGGTGATGGAGGATCCCCAGACCTAGACCAGACGCAACAAACCATGATTCGGAGTGATGCATGGGATGGCGTGAGTGAGAGCCAAGTGCGAGGAGGGGGCTTAGCTAAATAATGGCCTCCAAGGAGAGGATGTGGACTGGATCCTGAAGGCTAAGTAGGAACTTGCCAGGCAGAAATGGGAGCTGGGAGGGGCCCTCCAGGCAAACAGAACCGCAGGAACTAAGGCGCCATGGAGGGGAGAAAGTGCTCGGTCTGTCCAGAGAACTGTGAGCATCTGGGTGTGGTTGGGAAAGAGGCCCTGGCTGAGGACCAGAATCACCTGCAGAGCTTTTTGTCAATACAGATTCTAGGATCTTTCACTCCAGATCTACTGAAGCTGAACATCCAGGTCTACAGCCCAGGCAAGAATCTGCTTTTAAAGACCAATCCCCCCAACACAGTGCCTCCCCAACCCCCCATGCCACCCCCACCCCCAACACACACTTACACACAAATGACCCTGATGCACAGCCAGGGCTGAGAACCACAGGGATGTTAATTCCAACAGCATAGAACTTTCTGAAAATGCAAAGAATTGGATAGCAAGGACCCCAATCCTAAATGGGGAAGAAGGCAAGGAGGGGCAGACTTTGTAGTCCCTGACCACTCAGAAAGTCTGCAATTCAGTTCACTGGCGACGGCTCATGTCTCAAAGGGTGGCAGGCTGGAAAGGCTGAGGATGGGGAAGTGAGATTCATTCCAAGAAAGAAGTTAGACAGACAAGGGGCGGGCGGGGACTGTCTGAGCTGAAGAGGGAAATTCCCCGTCCTAGAGGGTGGCTGCCGGAAAATGCCATAAAGCCCTTCCAGGAGATGTTAAAAGGGGGAAGTCCCCAGCTCAGGGGTGGCATGACTGAGTGCACTCTGGACCCTGAGCTGGAGACCTGGCTCTGCCACCTCCAGGCTGGGTGCCTCCAGCAACCATCTCCATGGCCTCAGTGCCCTCCTATGTAGAAGAGACCCCAAACACCTCCCTGCAAATGAGACTAAAGGAAATGGAAGCATGTGGAAGAGCGTGAACTGTGGTGCAGACAGACGGGTGCACAGGGAAGGCATTCTGATGATCAGGAACAGACAGGTTAAGGTCAGGACCATCAGGCCTCGAGGCACAGCCCAGGGCAATCCCCTTAATAACTGAAGGCAGCCACAGGGGTTTGGCATGCCTGTCAGCCCAAGCCACTGGCCAACCAGGAGGCCCCAAGAGGAACGAGGCATCTGTACTATGCCCGGTGCTGAGTCCAGCACTGAGCTGCTCTCTGACACATCACATCACCTCCCTTAATCCTCACAACAAACCCACTGGTCAACAGTAGCAACAACAGGCACTGTCCAAGCATTTTGCACAGGGCAATTTGTCTAATTTTCACACTGACCCTATGAGGCAGGTCCACTCTATTGTAACCAAGGAGGAAACTGAGCCTTGGAGAGCTTAAGTCACTTGCTCAAGGTCAAGAGCTAGTAAGTGGCAGAGCTGGGATTCACGCTTGGTGGAACTCTGATATGCACCAGTTCCCATAAAACCACTGAGAAAAGTTGGGTTGGGGAAGCATGGAAAGAAAGTGTTAGAGGTTCCCCAGAGGCCACCAAGTCCATCAAATCACCAACAACTTTTTCTTTTTCACTTTTCCAGATAGTCTGGGGATTGATTTCATAGCCCCCCTTGGCTGACACGTGCCCCACATCTGCCCCAGTGCCTGCAGTGCCATGGTCCTGGGGAGGGTCCAAGCCTGGGGAGTGAGGCCTGGCTTGAGTCCTGACTTCACTACCCTGTGACCCTGGAAGAGGCACCCCACCTCCTGGGCATTCATTTTTGAATCTGCACAATGGGGCTGATGCCACCTACCTTGCAGGGTGGCAAGAAACAAAAGTGAAATCATGCATACAATAGCGAGAATTGACAACGTGCTGGCGGCCCTCGCTCGCCCTCAGTGCCTCCTCGGCCTTGGCGTCCACTCTGGCCACACCTGAGGAGCCCTTCAGCCCACCACTGCACTGTGGGAGCCCCTCTCTGGGTTGGCAGAGGCTGAAGCCGGCTCCCTCTGCTTGTGGGGAGGTGTGGAGAGAGACGTGTGGGCAGGAACCAGGGCTGCGTGCAGCGCTTGCGGGCCAGTGAGAGTTCCAAGTAGGCGTGGGCTCGGCGGGCCCCGCACTCTAAGCGGCCAGCCGGTGCCACCGACCCTGGGCAGTGAGGGGCTTAGCACCCAGGCCAGCAGCTGCAGAGGGTGTGCCGGGTCCCCCAGCACTGCCGACCGGCCCGCACTGCTCTCGAATTCTCACTGGGCCTCAGCCGCCTTCCCGCAGGGCAGGGCTTGGGACCTGCAGCCTGCCATGCCCGAGCCCCCTGGCAGTGGGCTCCCACATGGCCCAAGCCTCCCTGACGGGGACCGCCCCCTGCTCTGCGGCGGCTGTTCCCATCGACCATCCAAGGGCTGAGGAGGCAGCGTGGGACTGGCAGGCCGCTCCACCTGCTGCCCTCGTGCGGGATCCACTAGGCGAAGCCAGCTGGACTCCTGAGTTGGGTGGGGACTTGGAGAACTTTTATGTCTAGCTAAAGGATTGTAAACACACCAATCAGCACCCTGTGTCTAGCTCAAGGTTTGTAAATGCACCAATCAGTGCTCTGTGTCTAGCTAATCTAGTGGGGACTTGGAGAACTTTTATGTCTAGCTAAAGGATTGTAAATACACCAATCAGCACTCTTGTGTCTAGCTCAAGGTTTGTAAACACACCAATCAACACTCTGTGTCTAGCTCAAGGTTTGTAAACACACCAATCAACACTCTGTGTCTAGCTCAAGGTTTGTAAACGCACCAATTAGTTCTCTGTGTCTAGCTAATCTAGTGGGGACTTGGAGAACTTTTATGTCTAGCTAGAGGATTGTAAATGCATCAATCGGCACTCTGTATCTAGCTCAAGGTTTGTAAACGCACCAATTAGTGCTCTGTGTCTAGCTAATCTAGTGGGGACTTGGAGAACTTTTATGTCTAGCTAGAGGATTATAAATGCACCAATCAGCACTCTGTATCTAGCTCAAGGTTTGTAAATGCACCAATCAGTGCTCTGTGTCTAGCTAATCTAGTGGGGACTTGGAGAACTTTTGTGTCTAGCTAGAGGATTGTAAATGCACCAATCAGCACTCTGTGTCTAGCTCAGGGATTGTAAACGCACCAATGAGCACCCTGTCAAAATGGACCAATCAGCTCTCTGTAAAACGGACCAATCAGCTCTCTGTAAAGTGGACCAATTAGCTCTCTGTAAAATGGGCCAATCAGCAGGATGTGGGGGGGGGTCAGATAAGGGAACAAAAGCAGGCTGCCTGAGTGAGCAGCGGCAACTTGGTGAGGTCCTTTTCCCATTGTGGAAGCTTTGTTCTTTTGCTCTTTGCAATAAATATCGCTGTTAGTGTCTTTGGGTCCGCACTGACTTTATGAGCTGTAACACTCATGGGGTGGGTCTGCAGCTTCACTCCTGAGGCCAGCAAGACCATGAACCCACCGGGAGGAACAAACAACTCCAGAGGCACTGCCCTAAGAGTTGTAACACTCACCGCGAAGGTCTGCAGCTTTACTCTTGAAGACAGCGAGACCAGGAACCCACCAGAAGGAAGAAACTCTGAACACATCCAAATATCAGAAGGAACAAACTCCAGACACACTACCTTTAAGAACTGTAACACTCACCGCGAGGGTCCGTGGTTTCATTCTTGAAGTCGGTGAGACCAAGAACCCACCAATTCCAGACACAATAGCACCAGGTACACAGTGGTATCAAGAAATGCCAGTTCTCTTCCTTCCCCTCCCACTTCTCTATCTCTGTCCAAAGCTGCCCAGCTCTGGTGCCCCCTCCCAAGCTTCTCTGCCCTACTTCTGTCCCCTGTGATCATCTCAGGCTCAAACTCCACTCTCCTTTCCTGTCCCTCTCTAAGGGCAACCTTGGGCTGTTGGCACCTTTGCCTGAGTTGGCTTCGCTGTGAATTGTGAACTGGTGCACAGGGCAGCATCAGATGTGAAGGCCACTCTGTGTCCTACTGCCCCAGGTTGGGACATGCCTGTGGGATGGCCAAGGGCTGATGGGCACACAGGATAGCCACACCACCCAAAGCAGTTGCCCTCCCCAATCACCAGGTAGGCAGGCAACTTGGACCCTTGACTTCATTCATCCCAACTGGCCAAGAGTTGGCCGCCATCCTTGGGATGGACTTTTGCAATACCACTCAGGCCATGACCCCATGGATGGGCATCAGGAGACTCATGCTGTTACCCCAGTCCGGCCCATACACCCTTCAGTCAGTGTCTTCCCCTATCTGGGCCTTGGTTTGCTCAGTTTGTACACAAAGGGCAGTTTTCCGTACACCTCTGTACAGAAAGAGATGTACAGGACTTTGGGTCCTTCCAGTGCTAACAGAGTCTAGTTCTATTCTGCTGCATCCACAGCTCTGCTGCATGCACAGCCCTGCTGCCCAAGGTCTGTAATCTCCAGCCACTGCCTAATTTCCATCTCCCTGATTTCTTCTATTAGAGATACGTTTACAAAGTAGCCTGACCAGGCAAGGAGACGGCTGAAGCTCTGCTGTATTTAGTGACTCTGCTGCTGCTTGCTGTTTTCATTAAAAACAGGCTCCTGGGTGTCCCCACAGTCTGACTCAGTGCTTTCAAAACCACTTCCATGTCTCAGCCACAGGGAGCATTCCCAGGAGGGAGGAGGTCCAGGCCACTGGAAGTTAGGATTGCCTTTCCCATGCGTCAGAAGTGAGCTCCCTGGAGGACTCTGTGACTCACAAGACTGGGGTCCTGACTGTGCTTTCACAGCTGGAGCACTGAGCAAATATAACAAGAGCCATCGTTCAGGGCCATTTCCCTCATGCCAGATGCTGGGCTGAGGCTTGTCCCTGCACTTCATCATCTAACCCTGGAAACAACCCTATGAGATAGGGCTATTAGAATCACCATTCTTGGAAGAGGAGTTGAGGTTCAGAATGGTTGAGTAAGTTACCTAAGGCCACAGGCTTTTTACCCAAGGCTCCAAAGCAATACAGCACAGCGTTTGCCCTTGACAGCCCTCTGATGGCCACACACAGGGTGGCACTGAGGAAGCTGGTGTTGCGGTTCACCAGGGGATTTTGCAAAGTGCCCATTGGCCATTATTTTCCTGACCCCCCCAGATGAGTCAACGATTAAGCTCACAGGTCTGGAAACAAAGAGGTCAGACCCAGGACTCTGGGCCCCCTCTAGTAATTCTCAGCCTGCTAAAAGCTGAGCAAGATCACATGGCACAGCATCCCAGTACTCACCGAGGCTTGAGTGTAGGTGACGGCTTCTAAGATCTCAGCTACTCCGTCTGCCTCCTGCAGCCCACTGGTCTCTCCAGATGCCTGTGTGGAGACAAACTGTGCCACACACCGGGCAGAGCGGGCAGGGCCCATAAGAGTTGGATGACTGGGAAAGTTACAGAAACTGACAAACCGACTCTCCTACAGGGAAACCGTGTGTGTGTGTGTGTGTGTGTGTGTGTGTGTGTGTGTGTGTCTATGAGAGACGGAGTGGGGTTAAGGAGACAGCGTGTGTGCAGTGTGCATGGTTGGTTATTTGTTTTATTTATTTATTTTTATTTTTTTATTTTTTTGAGACAGGTTCTCTCTTACTCTGTCACCCATGCTGGAGTGCAGTGGTGCGATCTCAGCTCACTGCAAACTCTGCCTCCTGGGTTCAAACGATTCTCCTGCCGCAGCCTCACGAGTAGCTGGGATTACAAGCACACGCCACCACGCCGGGCTAATTTTTGTATTTTTTGTAGAGATGGGGTTTCACCATGTTGGCCAGGCTGGTCTCCAACTCCTGACCGCAAGTGATCCACCCACCTCGGCCTCCCAAAGTGCTGGGATTACAGGCGTGAGCTACTGCGCCCAGCCTGGTTGTTCATTTTATTTCTTTCCACATTTTATTGCTCTAACAGAATACACAATGATTTCTCACTCTCTCTAACATATCTACTTTCATTCGATCCAGGTCCCCACCACTCTCCCAACCTTTGTGAGGCTGTCATTGGAATCTTGCGCTGGGAACAATTACAGCCGAAGCATGACTTCCTGGCATTACCTAATCTTTCTAATTAGCCTCCTAAAGGCAGACAAGGAGCCCGAGTGCTGTGATTTTGTAACCAATCCCTTGTTCTTGGACCCTTGGGTTGTTTCTACTTTTTCAGTATTAATGGCAATGCAGAGACTAACGCGTGACTACACTGATCAGCATCACATGACTGTCAGGCTGGGACCACTGGCTCATGGAACACAGGCATTCTCACAGGCCCAAATTCCACCTCTCAGGGGCTTTCCAACGAAATCGACAGCATTTTGTTTTTTACAAAGTTAACAAAATCAATTTATGTTCTGTTGTGACGTTGATGCCACCCAAAAGGCAACAGGAATTGCAGGAATGCGCTACCTTCTGCTCACCTCTGACTGCATCCTGGACCCCTTCTCCCTGGGAGGCCTCACCCTTGTCATTGGTCAGGCATCACCTGCTCCCTAACTGGCTTCAAGTTCCTCCTCTTTCCTCTCCTGCTCCCACCTGACAACGTTGAGTTTGGGTTTGAGGATCTCCCCCTTTTCCCATCACACTCAGCTCTGCCACTGTATTTGGGTATGGAAGTGCATATGAGCAGCTTATTAAACAGTTCCCAGTTATTCCTTTATCTCCAGCACCTACCCAGGGCTGGCACCCAGCAGGTGCTCAGTCAATCCTTAGAGGGAGGGAAGAAGGAGTCATCTTTTTTTTCCTGCCCACCACTCCATCCCCAGCTTAGGAACGAACTCATTTGCCAAGCATAAAAGCTAAGTTGAGGATCGTTTTTTATAGGAATTTACTCCCAGAATATCTCAGTTTTAACTTTGATTTTAGAATCTTGACACCATTTCTTGGCAAGAAGGCGGGAAAGCAGGCCATTGACGGCCACAGCCATGGAAGATCCTGACACCTTATAAGAAACACAGCTCCCCACACCAGAGATGGCTGATGCTCTTTAAAAAGTGAAATCACGCCAAAAGCCCAAAATAGGACTTGAGGCAGCAGTTGCCAAAATGAGAGGTTTCAGAAACTCCACGCCACTGTCTGGGCATCCAGCCCTCCCCAGGCTGCGGCTGCTGGGGTTGCAGGGCCCACTGTGGGATAGTAGGGGAGCTCACCGAGGACTCTTCAGGGTCACACAGCTCCTCGGGAGTCCTGGGGTCGGGGTGCACGGTGAGCTGCTGGAGGGAGCCCTGGGGAAAAGAGACGGATCAGAAGCCACGGTTTGCACGTACACAGCATGACTGCCAGTGGAAGACATGATTGTTTTGGCAATGGAGACGAACAGGTAAAAGCGTGGGAATGAGGATGTACAGCCTGCAGTCTCAACCACGAAGCCAGGCCACCTCTTGGCCCACTCTCAGTTATGGGGGGACTCTCCTTGGGCCAGTATCATACTGACCCCTGGGCCAGAGAGGCCCTTGGGGAGCATTGTGTTCAAGTGTGCACACCACAGCAGCCTCCTGTCTCCAGGTCCCCAGCTTGTCAGCGGCAGGCCCTGAAACGCACATCTCCCTCTCCCAGAAAGCTCTTTCCCCTGCAGCTCAATGCTTCTGAGTTTGAAGGCCTCGTCCCAAGAAGGGCTACCACAGCCTCCCTGCCTCCACTCTCCTCCCCTCTCCCCACACCTGACAGCTTCCTCTCCATGAGGCTCCTAAAGTGAGCATTTAAAAATTGCCCTTTGTGTTTTAACTTCTTAACATTCTCCAATGTCTTTCACTCTACTCCAGATAAACCCAAACTCCACCCCGTGGTGCTGTCCTGTTCACCAACGAGACATCAGTAAATACGTGTGCTGACTAAATGAGTAACTACAATAACTTAGTGATCTTTAGAATGCCTTATTCATAAAAGCCCATTTTGATAGTAAAGTCAGTTTAAATTTTTTTTAAGTGCACATTGCCTAGAAGGCGGGAAAAGCTACCTCTCACTCTGGTATTCTAGTGTATCCCACCTTTTCAGAAATTACTTACGTGCAATTGTCACCCATATCCAAAGATCAAACCATTTAGGGCTATAACAAACCTTGCTCTTTTATATAAAATCTTAAAACGTACAAAGTGCTTTCACACAGATTATCTTATTTGACCTACAAGACTGTGGGGTAGGTTTTCTTATCTCCACTTACAGATAAGGAAACACAGAGAGGATCAGAGAATCTGGATAACTGTCTCAAATTTACAAGGTAAGTTGAAAACTGAGGATGGAAATCTAGGTTTTGGGGTTCCAGGCCTAGTGTTATTTCCCATCATAACACGCATGCTTCTTTGAGGACATAAGAATAAAATAATAACAATAATAGTTGCTCCATTTATTGCATGGCGAGTCTGTTCATCCACCTCCCTGATCTACCTGGAGTGGGACTTTAACTCACAGTGAATCTCTCGAGCCCTGTAGCTCCTGCATTGCCCATGAAGATTCCAGCGCTGGACTCAAAAGCCAAAGCCTGGGAGGACCGCTGGAAGGGGATGCGGCTGTGCTCCTCACAGTTCACGAGGAGGGTCACTTCCTCACCCTGGACAATCATGGCGAAGCGGTTCCACCTGTGGGTCATCACAGGCACCGAGAAGGCAGCAGCCTCTTGGGACACATGGGAGCCTGGCTCCGTGTAGTAGAGGATGATCCGCTGGTGGCCGTCCTCCACACCTGAGAGCCGCAGGCCCAGGTAGATGACCTTCTGGAAGGCGTCAGTGATGGCGAAGAGCACGCCACCACGGGTGCTGCTGGGCTTCACCACGACGCTGATGGCGAAGTCCCTGAAGAAGGTGGATGGGATGAGAGTCCTGGCTGGGCGGCCAACATTGGCACCAGGCCCGAAACTGTAGGCCGGGAAGCCACCATAGCCTGTGACAAAGGATACGGACGAGGGCAGCGGGACACCGATGAGCTGCGTGAGGTCCAGGTGACCCTGGGAAGCAGTCTCTGCAGGGAGGGAGAGAGAGGCCACGCTTTACAGGTATATTCCACTTTGCTTGAAAATGAGGAAGAAACGCAGTCACAAATGAAACGGGATCACTCAGGAACCCCACTGAAACTGTAGTTCCTAAATGGTTGTTTTTCAAACGTTTTGACAACGACCCACAAAAAGAAATGCATTTGCACTGCAACCCAATATACACACGTGTAGACAGATATCTGTAACACTGAAACAGAAGTTTCATAGAACATGATTTAATACTCACCAGGCACTCAAATATTTTTCTTTTCATTTAATTATTCTTTTTCTGCTTCATTTTATTAAAAACATGCTGGTAATTAATTACTAAATTGATTTTATAACCCACTAATAGTTCATGACCTGCGTTTGGAAAACACTTATGAGTAATCCCTAGAATATATAATGTTCACCCATCGACTTGGAGATTTTTTTTTTCCCCACTATAAAACTGAATAGGGGCCAGGTATGGTGGCTCACGCCTAAAATCCCAGCATTTTGGGAGGCCCAGGTGGGTGGATCACTTGAGGTCAGGAGTTCGAGGATAACATGGCCAACATGGTGAAACCTCGTCTCTACTAAAAATACAAAAATTATCCAGGCATGCTGGCACATGCCTGCAATCTCAGCTACTTGGGAGACTGAGGCAGCAGAATCACTTGAACCCCGGAGGTGGTGGTTGCAGTGAGCTGAGATCGCACCACAGCACTCCAGCCTCAGTGACAGAGGGAGAGTCCATCTCAAAAAAACAAAAACAAAAAAACTGGATAGGTTTGTTTTGTTTTGAATGAGGTCTATTGTTTAAGTGCCTCTGAGTGTGCAGGGAAAATCAGGGACACAGTGAAGTGTTCCCAGGCCTCAAGGCAATTGAAATTTGCGTCATTGTCATCGCCTTTGACATCACCGCCATCATCATCCACATTCCCTAAGCTCTGTCTGCACCAGGCCCTGCTCTAAGCGCTCTGCATACATTAGCTCATGTAATCCTCACAACAAACCTATGAGGTTAGGTACTCTTATCCCCATCTTACTTCTGAGAAAACTGAGGCTTAGAGAAATTAACAAATTTGCTCAAGGTAAGTTGCATGCAGGTTTCAAACCCAGAGCATCTGACCCCAGAGGCTATGCCACCACACCTTGCAGGGAGAAATGGTGGAGCTCCATTATGGTGTCCTGAAAAGGCCCCCAGGCTCCAGAATGTTGGCCCATCCAAGTATTTTCCCCAGGAGAAAGCTGCAGACTAGCTTGCAGCAACATGCACCCACTTCTGAGTTGACATCCAAGGTACCAGTAGTGAGACAGGAAGGCAAGTCCCAGGGAGAGGGGGACAAGACCACTGTAGCCAGGACAATGGACAAGTAACACCCTTTGGCCTTGGAAGTGAAGCCGGATCCTGAGGATTCAACCAGATGAGGAGGCCTGGAATGAGTGAGGATCAGAATCGAGCAGTGTCCTCCTCTGGAGGCCAGAGGGCAAGGCAGACTGATTGATGGCTGTCTGGGCTATCGCCAAAGGCCAGAGGCCACTGAGAACCTAAGTGGTTTCTGAGGACTTGGCGGGTTTGTCTCCAGAGAAAACCCCAAACACTCGAGAGACCCTCTAAGGAAAGCCCTACCTGAGGAATCAGCCTGATTTCCAGTTTACCCAACTTGCCACCATCTTATTGGACACAACTACGTAGCTGTGTGAACTCCAGTGAGTCACTGAACCACTCCAAGTCTGAGTGTCTTCCTCTATCATACAGGCACTAGAATGGGCTCCAAAAGAATGACTAAATGAGACCGTCCACGGAAACCCCTGGTTAATAATGGTAGCAGTGCAACAAACATTCGCTATTCTTTATTTTTATTATATCCACTGAACAATCTCAAGAGGTCAATGCGCAGGGATAATCACGCCTGCAGCACTGACCAGGAAAGTGAGGCTGACATGGGAGCCTGCCTCTGTGCCCTTGAGCTCCCTTATAAAGAATAATAACAATGTGGTTTTCATGCATAGTTTTACTCAGTCCTCACAGCAGCCCTGGCAATTAACTGCTCTTATCCCTTGGGAAGATGAGATGACTGGCCCGAGGTTATGCAGCTGGTAAGTGGCAGGACATTTTCGAGCCATGGCTGGTGTGATTTCTGGCTGATTCACTGCTGCAGCCTCACTGAGATGGGGGAGTCTGTACCGGGGTTGCGGGTGGGGCTCCACCTAGTCTGCCTACTATATCAATGACCCTTCAGCAGCAAGAAGGATGGAGTCAAGACTCCAGGTGGTCCAGGAACTCAAACTTCCCATGAATGGGTATGTATACTTAGTGGCTGGGAGAGGGAGATGCCCTGACTGCCATGCCCCCATCTCAACTCCGCAACACTCACAGAGAAGGCTGCTCACCGCCAGTACTAACCTCAATTATTATGGAATATCTAGGTTACACAAAAAAATACAGTATAAAGAACAATATGAGACACTTGGTTGTTAAATGGTTAAAATACCAAATTTTATGCTATGTATGCTTAACCACAATTTTAAAAAAAGCGAGTAATTAGCCTATAGCGTTGTTGTGAGGATTAAAGGACATAATACAAAGTGCTGGCACATGCCAAATGCCTAAAAAGTGGTGGATATCATGGCTGGACACACTGTGGCTCACAACTGTAATCCCAACACTTTGGGAGGCCAAGGAGTGCAGATCACTTGAGCCCAGGAGTTCAAGGCCAGCCTGGGCAACATAGTGAGACCTCATCTCCACAAAACAACAAAAAAGCCAGGTGGTGTGCACCTGTAGTCCCCGCTACCCAGGAGGTTGAGGTGGCAGGATTGCTTGAGCCCAGGTGATCAAGGCTGCAGTGAGCCATGATCATGCCACTGCACTCCAGCCTGGGTGACAGAGCGAGACCCTGTCTAAAAAAAAAAAGAAAAAAGGCAGCCATCATCATCATCATCATCGTCATCACTGTCATCTAGACTTGCTGGTTTAGAAAAGAACCGCAGAGGTCACCTGACACAACTCTATCTGTTGATAAAGTTGTATCAGGTTGTAACTGGTGACCTCTAAGTTTCTATCGTACCAGACCCTGCCCTGTCTGATTTGATAACCAGTAGCCACATATGGCTATTGAGCACTTGAAAAATGGGTCTTCCCAACTGAGATGTGTCATAAATGTAAACTACAAACTAAATTTCAAAGACTTTGCTTGGAAAAATATCTCAATACTATTTATATTGATTATATGTTGAAATCATTTTGAAAAACAATGGATAAATAAAATACATTATACATTAATGGGTGTGGTCATGTGTGCCTGTAGTCCCAGCTATTCGGGAGGCTGAGGTGATAGAATCACTTGAACCCAAGAGTTTGAGGCTGCAATGAAATACGATCATGCCACTGCACTTCAGCCTGGGCAACAAAGAAATACCCTATCTCTCTCTATATATATCATTTTTTAAAATTTTAAAATAGGGCCTGGTATGGTGGCTCATGCCTGTAATTCCAGTGTTTTAGGAGGCCAAGGTAGGAAAATTGCTTGAGGCCAGGAGTTTGAGACCAGCCTGGGCAACACAGAGAGACCATCTCTACAAAAAATTTAAAAATTAGCAGAATGTGGTAGTGCGTGCCTGTAATCTACTACTCTGGAAGTTGGGCCAGGAGGATCACTTGCGCCTAGGAGTTTGAGGCTACAGTGAGCTATGATCACCCCACTGCACTCCAGCCTGGGTGGCAGAGTGAGACCTGTCTCTAAAAAAAATAATTATAATATTATGAGGAACAAGTATGTGCCCACCACTCCACGTAAGAAAGACAGTATCAATTCAGCTGAAGCTCCCATGAACTCTCTTCAGTCCTTTTCCTCTGCCCATGCTCTGGCAGGAGCCATTCTTGTGAATTTGGTGTTTATCACTCCCACGCATTTGTATGTCCACTCGATACGTGTTTCTAACAGAATGTAGAACCATGGTGTGTGTTCTACACCTCATATAAATGGTGGCATGATGCACACATTCTTCTGAAACTTGCTTTTATTTTTCACTCAGCATTGTATTTTTTAGATTTATCCCTGTTGATACATGTGGCTCTGATCTTATATTTTCTTTTCTTTTTTTTTGAGACAGAGTCTCGCTCTTGTTGACCAGGCTGGAGTGCAGTGGCACAATCTCGGCTCACTGCACCCTCTGACTCCTGGGTTCAAGCGATTCTCTTGCCTCAGCCTCCTGAGTAGCTGGGATTCAGGTGCCCACCACCATGCCTGGCTAATTTTTGTACTTTTAGTAGAGACGGGGTTTCGCCATGTTGGCCAGGCTAGTCTCGAACTCCTGACCTCAGGTGATCCGCCCACCTTGACCTCCCAAAGTGCTGGGATTACAGGCGTGAATGAGCCACCGCGCCTGGCCTGGCCTTATATTTTCACAACAGTACTCTATGGTATAAATAAGCTACAATGGGTTGATTCACATTTCTGTTGGTGGAAGGTGAGGTTTCCATCAATATTACAAATGATACTGCCACGGACTCCCTTATACACATCTCCTCCTGCTTACCTGTGCAGGTAATTCCACAGCTGGAAGTGGAATTATTGGATAATATGGGTATGTGCACCTACAGCTTCCCTGAATATTGCAAAATTGTTCTCTGAAGCAACCGTGTCATGCATGTCGCAGACCCACCAGCAGCATATTCTTGCCAACATTTAGGGGAGGCAGAGAGATGCAATTTGGGAGAGGTCCACGGGGCTTTTCAACGGTAGTGATAGTGTTAATTGTTCAGGTGGTATTCAAAAGAAATATTCATTGTATTTTTCTTTATAGCAAATTTCATGGAAAATATTTCATACAATTTTTATGAAAACGATTAACCCCTCCTCGACAAAAGAGCACATCTGATCCTGTTGCTATCCTGCTTAGAAGCCTTCTATGAAATAGGATTTTTCATGGCCCTCAGGGCCAGGGCTGACCAGGCTGCTGCCACCTGGCTCAAGAGGCCCTCTGTGGTCAGGACCCAGCTGCACTCCCTACTCCCTGACATGCCTGACACAGCCCCAGCGTGCCCCATGCTGTCCCAGGGACTCCCACCCCTGCCAGGAATGCTTTCCTCTGTGCCATCTGCCCCAGCCCAGCCCAGTTATTTTCACTGAATGACTCCTGCTCATCAGCCCAGGCCTCGCTTCCCCTGAAATCTCGCTTCACCTCCCGCACCCACACCCTCCCCTCTGGGGGCTGCATTAGAAGTCCTCTCTGTACACACGGGGTCCTCCATCATAGCCCCTGCATGTCACTATTGGGTCACTTGCCTCTCTTCCCACTGGGCCATCTGTCTTCCCAGTAACCAACCCAGGGCTTATAGTGAATGAATGAACAAATGAATGAATGTGTACATATTCTCAAGTCCCCTCTTTTTTTTTTTTTGAGACAAGAGTCTTGCTCTGTTGCCCAGGTGGGAATGCAGTGGCATGATCACAGCTCACTGCAGCCTCCACCTCCCAGGCTTAAATGACCCTTCCACCTCTCAGCCTCCCAAATGTCTGGGGCTACAGGCATGCAGCATCACACTCAGCTAATTTTTTCATTTTTTTGTAGAGACAGGGTCTCGCTATATTGCCTACGTTGGTCTCGAGCTCCTGGAATCAGTGATTCTCCTGCCTCGGCCTCCCAAAATGCTGGGATTACAGGTGTGAGCCCCTGCGCTCAGCCTCCAATCACCTCATTTTAGAAAACACTAAACTAAGGTTAATAGAGAGGAAGTGTTTGCTGGCCATGAACTCAGATTTGATTCTCAATTGAATGCTTATCCTCTCCAGTTTACAACTTGCTTTAAAACAGAAATTAATTTTAGTTAAAAGATTGGTAAATTTGGTTAAATTTGACCACTTAGAAAAAAATGTTCTGCATAGAACTAATAAATAATAATAATAATAATAAAGATAATCCCTGCAATGTCAAAGAAAACCCCAAAACCATGAAATGACTGATATTTGCTACAAAAATCACAGCAACAAACTCATTTCTCTAATATGCAAAGTAAATGAATACCCAAAAGAAAAATGGGCAAAGAATAGAAAATTCTAGACACAGTAAAAGAAATTAAAATCTTAAACATATGAAAAATACTCAACCTCATTCATAATGATAGAATGAGTTAAGATTACGAAGGGATACCATTTTCCCTATCAGATTGGCAAAGACCAGAATACGCTGTGTTGGCAAGGGTTTAAGGCAGCAGGCCTTCTCCTGCGTTACTGGCAGGAGCATAAATTGTTATAACGTGGTGGGAGGCAATTTAATAACATTTATCAAAATGGCAAATGTGCATGTACTTGTTGACCCAGCAGTCATACGTCTATGAATTTTTTAACAGATAAAGTTACATATGTGAAATATAAAGTACATACACAAATATTCACAGCATCGTGGTTTAAATTTACCTAAAATTCCCATCTTTGGGAATGATTAATATAATAAATGATGACAGGTTCACACAACGAAATCCAAGGCAGCGTTTCAAAAGATGTGATTCCTTAAGTACTAATATGAAACAATCAAGATGTACTATATAAAAACAGACAAAATAAGGTGCAGAAGTGAATTGCTATCAGTTGGAAATGTATGTACTAATACAAATTAAATATACCATATATATTTAAATATATATGGTATATTACAATAGCTCTAGAAGAATACACAAGAAACGGGGCAGTGGTTGTCTCCAGGGAAGGAAGCTGGTGGCTGGGGGCTGGGAGACTTGCTTTTCACTGGATATCTTTTTATACTTTTTTCTATTTTACAGCATATACATGGTATGAAAAGTAAAGACATCTACATATTTTTAAAGAGATTATCTCCTTGCATCCACTTATAGAAATCATAAAACCTATTCTTCTTGCTTTTCCTCACTCAGATACAGCTTATCTTTGTACAGAAAGAAAGAAAAAAAGAAGGAAAAGAAACAAAGAAAACCACACATCCCACTGAGATTTCTTTTCTTTCCTCCACGGTTTAAAGACAAAAACAAAACAAAACCACAAACACCCTACTGAGAGCTCTGCTTTCTTCTTCGCTTATCCAATCCAGTAAAAAGCTTTTCCTCTATTTCCTCTCTCTTTCCTGCTGGGAACAGGAGGGGGAAGCCTCTTTCTGCTCGGAAAATTCCTGGTGCCACAGAGAGTAAAAGCACCAGAGCTTCACATCCTGTGGCTTGTTTCCAAGTGGTGTCTCTGAGGGATCCAGGGCCAGGTTAAGCGTTCAGGCGACACAGGGAGAAGGGCCTGAGAGGCTCCCACTCAGAAAGCTCATTGCTTAAACCAGCCTAGTGCTTCCCATGGCCAGTAGATCCAGGCTTGCATGTGGCAATTCTGGGAATTCTTATGCCTAGGAGTCTGCTTAAAAACAAAAATTCATGAATCTATCCAACATCCTTGTTTTCTAGACAGGGAAATTGATGT